>NC_000007.14:113718900-114021930 GCF_000001405.40 Homo sapiens
AATAAATAGGATATTTCCTAATGTTATCTTCTACCATGAAGGGAAAATTGTTCTAAATTTGTATGCACTTGATAATAGTTTCAAAACTATAAATAAGAAAGCTACATAAATAAAAAGCAGTAAAATCTACAGTCAAGTTACAAGAAAATTCTAACACTTTCCTCAGTTATTGAAAGAATATGTAGATAAAACCATGACTAATTATAATAAGCAAACTTGGCCATAATGAACATATAGGGAACACTGAATACAATTGCAGAATATTTTTGAGTGCATGGAAATCATTTAACAAAATTTACCTTATTCTGAAATGTATCAATTCTCTAACAAACTAAGATTAAAATCGCACAGTGAAATAAAGTTAAATATCAGTAAGAAATATATAAAAGGCAACTAGAGGCCAGGCACAGTGGCTCATGCTTGTAATTCCAGCACTTTGGGAGGCCGAGGCTGGTGGATCACGAGGTCAGGAGTTCAAGACCAGCCTGGCCAACATGGTAAAACTCTGTCTCTACTAAAAAAAAAAAAAAAAAAAAAACAAAAATTAGCCAAGGGTGGTGGCACATGCCTGTAGTCCCAGCTACTCAGGAGGCTGAGTCAGGAGACTTGCTTGAACCCAGGAGGCAGAGGTTGCAGTGAGCTGAGATTGTGCCACTGAACTCCAGCCTGGGTGACAGAGCAAGAAAAAAAAAAGAGGGCAACTAGAAATGCATCCAAATGTTTAAATATTAAGCAATTATTTCTGGATAATCACTGGATAAAAGAAATCACAAGGAAGGTTAGAAAATATTTTGACTGGATAATAAAGCAAACATATATCACATCTTGTGGGGTATCTCTAAAATGATAATTTGAATGTGTTTATGCCAATAAATCTGAGACTTTTTATGAACAAAGAACTCCTAAAATAATACAATTTTTGAAAACTGACCAGAATGAAATAAAAAATCTAAATTACTTGGTATCCAATTAAAAAAACACATGTGTAATTAAAAACATTTCTCAAAAGAAAATTTTAGGCTCTATTGGCATCTGCAGTAAATATTTCCAACATAAGAAGTAACACCAAACTTACAGAAACTCTTTCAGAGCATAGAACAAGAAGAAACGTTCCCCAACATATAAGGCAAATAACTTTGAGATGAAAATCTGACAAAAGCATTGTAAGAAAGCATAATTATAGGATAATCTATCTCATGACTACAGATATAAAAATTTTCAAGAAATTATTAGCCAAAAGAATTTCCAGAGCTAAGGTACAAATGTCGCCACTTTCCCGATACCAACAATAAACAAGTAGAACTTGAAATTTAAAACACAGCACCATTTACATTAAGACCCCACAAAATAAATATTTAGGTGTAAATCTAACACAATATGTGCAAGATCTATTTGAAGAATACTATAAAAATCTGATAAAAGAAATCAAAGAACTAAATAAATGAAGAGATATTCGATGTTCATGGATAGGAAGATTAAAGACTGTCAAGATGTCAGTTCTTCCAAACTTGATCTGTAGATTCAATTTAATCCAAATAAAGATCCCAGCAAGTTATTTTGTGGAGATCGATAAACTGATTCTAATTTTAATATGGAGATGCAAAAGACTCAGAATAGCCAACTCAATGTTGAAGAAAAGAAAAAAGTTGGAGGACTGGCACTACCCAACTTCAAGATTTGCCATAAAGCTACAGTAATCAAGACCATGTGGTATTCATGACAGAATAGACAAATGGATCAATGGAACAGAACAGACAGCCTCAAAGTAGACCTACACAAATATAGTTAACTGATCTATGACAAAGGAACAAAGGTGATACAATGGAGAAAAAATAATCTTTTCAACAAATGGTGCTGGAATAACTAGACATCTATGTGTTCTCAAAATGAAAATCTAAGAGTAATTCTAATAAGTAAGACTACACAAAAAAGTACAAAACATTATTAAGAGAAATTAAAGGAGCTACATATTTTCTGGGTTCAACTTTATACAGACACACCCATAACATGCATATAAATAAAATTTCATAACTTTGTTCTGTCTTCCCTGTTGCCTAAAACCTTTCTAAGTCAGATTTATCTTAAATATATGTAGTCATATTTAGTGATGATCTTTCTGATTCAGACTTCAATAACTTCCTTGGACAAATAAATTAACCTATGCAATTAAAAAAATCATTACCCCTAATTATTCCTTTAGTTGGTGAGGTAATTTCATCTTTAAGATTTCCACACTAAATGCAAAGCCTCTGGTCAGGGTGCGATATCAAGCTACATTTTGCTAATACCTCAGATAACAGGAAAGTACAATCAGAATAGATTGGGGTGCAGGAGAGGAAGAATACAGGAGAGAGGAGGGGTTTAAAGACAAGCATTTCATAATGCTTCACAAACCCTGCTCACACCATACAGATCCTTTTATTAAAATTAATTCTCACTTATTACAGCTAAGAAATAAAGAAAGGGAATACTTATTTACTAAGGTATGTTTCTTAGAGAAAAAAACACAAAGGCTACTATAGAGATCTTGCTTTCTTTTAAATGATCATATCCTATTTTCCTCTACAGCCCCATTCTTGACCCACAAATCAGTTCCACTGCCCTCTTCTGAATATCATGAATATTATTAATATAAAACTGTAACTTAGTTAATTTTGTTTTCTCAACACATACAAATTTCAGTATTTAAGACATGTATTATGTTATATAGGCTATACATTCCACAGTCCCAAAGCAGGAAATAACGTGTTTTTCAATGTCATTCTTTGTGGGATATAATTATTATAATGTTATATTGTAGATACTCAGGAACCATGACTCTGGTCATAATCTTGAAACTTCTCAGAGATTCCAGTATTTGAAGAATAGAAAAGAACATATATATATATATATATATATATATATATATATATATATATATATATATATAAACTCTAACCCAGTCATATTACAGATGAGGAAACTGGCGTTTCCTCTTCTAAAAGCACAAAGTTATCCATGATGAAGAGCCTAGAATCCTGCCTCACTGGCCCAATCCTTGAAGTGTTCTTTTGTGGTGAATAAAAATCATTCATTTTTTTTCTCGCCTTTGCCAAGTGAATGTTTCATTGTTCAGCTGAGCTGGCAGAACAGATGAAGGCAAAAGAGGCAATACTCAGGAGCACAGTTACTGATAAATAATTGCAACAAGGACATTATAATTATTTAATTAAAATCTGCGCATGGGGAGAGATTATGAGTCTTTCAGCTTGCTACCTCATTTAGATGATACTAGTCATTAACCAATTTAGCTGGAGTCAGCGCCTAAATGTCCACATGCTCCACTTTATCTTTGAAACCTGTGCAGTCAGCAGCCATGGCTGCATGCTCTGTATCCTGCTGCTGGTGCACACAGGCACACTCTCTAATAGCTTAAGAGACACTTGAATGTCTTAACTACCCATAGCCATCTCATAAACCTTCTCTGGAATTCTGAAGATTTTCCTTTGAAACAGTGCCCAGAATTTTTGGAGGAATTTATTCTTATTAAGAACACAATAGAACTTCTGTGAAAAAAAAATAGAAATTAACAGAATCAGGTCAGTTTGAAGCTCCCTCTAAAAGTGTTTCTTTTCTGATGTATTGAAAGGAACATGTTTTAACAAAAAGGACTCACCTATATGGTAGTTCTATGCCACCAATCCCAAAGACGATTCTCTGGTAAGACTCTGGAGTATCAGTGTTTGGATCCCCACATGGACATTAAAGTTCCTGTTCTTCAACTGTTTCCATTAAAAGAAAGAAAAGAAAAAGGAGAACTTTATTCTTACTACTGATGAGACTGATGGGACAAAGGAGATAAGGAGGGGAAGCATTGATGTTAATTTGTTATTGGATCTCTCTCTCACTTTCTCTTTCTTTATTTATTTTGGTCTTACTTTGATAAGTCATTTGTTTTACTCTGCCATGGCCCAATTCTGCAGATATGTTTCTAAAAATGTAACAAATTACTTTGTTTCTAAAATCAGCTTGAAGTAGGACACCCTTGCAAATCAATAAGTCCCAGAGGCACAGTACCTAAGAAAAATAAGACAACTAGAACTGTGGTCAAGACCCTTCTTTGATCCTTGAAAATGTAATATGATGTGACCACCCAAACTGGTAATTCATCTCCAGGAACTTGAGAAGGAATGGCAATTTTGAAATTGTATGCAATCTAAAGAAGTTATGTAGACAAGGTCTTAGGTCTTTTAAGGCCTCCCCATAATATAAATTTCACGAATCCTAAATGTTGCAAATATGGTGAAACGTACAAAAAACAAACATACCAATACATTTTTGGGATGCTTAATTTATCCCAACCCCTTTATTGGCATAGAAGAGGAATATGTTGTCCATCTAGGAGAAATTAGATCTGGACTAAGCAGAAAGGACTCAGACTTTTAGGGTCTGTTTTATCTATTTTAATAATCACTTATTGATATGTAGGTTCATATGTCTTTCTCTGTACATTTCTTCGTATGTAAAAACCTACCTTCCCTATTCTCTCTTATTAATACATCTTCTGCTACAGCAACTGTCCCTACTTCCAGGAACCAATCTAGTTTCTGTCTTGGGGATTTAGCCCTTGTACTTCTCTAACCTGGAATATGCTCTTTTTACAGACTTTCAAATTTCTAGCTCCTTTTTGTCATTTATTAACTTAAACATTACCTCCTCAGAGAGGCGTTCCCTTACCACCCCATTTAAAGTATGTAACCACCTCTTATTCTGCATCAAAACATCTTGTTTGTTACCTTTCTATCACTCATCAGTATTTTTAACTACATAAGCATTTATTTTATTACTCATATATGCACTGTGTATCTGTGACTTTAAGCTCCACAAATAGAAATGCCATATTGGTCTTACCCATTTCTGTAGTATCATTATCTGGCACAGTATATGAATGAATAAATGAATGAAACTCAAACAATTTAGAAGTATTAAACAGAAAGCTTCATTTAAATAACTTTGCTCCTTTTTTGTTTTCTCTTTTAATCTGAGAGGCTTAAATTATAGACTAGTGATCGAATATAATTGACAAGTATTGTCTAGATCTCAATACATTACTATGTAACTTTCATCCTTATTCCTACGATATACTTTGTTTCTTTTGATTGTTTGGTATTTTTCTTCAGCGAATTTCATTTTTATGTTTGACCACTTCTCTAATTGAATGATATGATTAAAATTTGAACACTGTCTCACAAAAATAATATAATACGTTATTTTAATTTACCTTTATTTTTACTATTTCTTTATTTTATTGGGATCTTGATTTTTATTACTTCTTTATTTTGCTTGATCTCTATCATTTCCCTCAAAGAAGTCTTCAACTGCTCGTCCAGCTCAAAATTCTCAAGTCAATCATTATAGAATCCATGCTTACTTATAAGATTACTTTTGCAATAAATAAAGACTGAGAAAAATTTTCTGGTAATTAGCCTGTTATATGAAGTTTTTAAAATTAGGATATTCCTCTTCTTAAAGTAGGCACATATCATTTAGACTAATAATTAAAAATTAAGATCTTTCTGGTGCCACAAGCACACAATGGGGAAAGGACAATCTCTTCAACAAATGGTGCTGAAAAAGCTGAATATCCATATACAGAAGAATGAAAATAGACCCTTATCTCAGCCTTATCCAAGAATCAACACAAAAATGGATTATAGACCTAAACACAAGGCCTAAAAACTATAAAACCAGTAGAGCAAAACAGAAGGGAAATGCTCCATGACATTGGACTGCAATGATGTTTGGATATGACCCCAAAAAGCACTGGCAATGAAAGTAAAAATAGGTAAATGGTATTTCATTAAACTAAAAAGTTTTTCCACAGCAAAGAAAACAATTGATAAAGTCAAAAGACAACCCACAGATTGGGAGAAAATATTTTCAAATCATACATCAGTAAAGGGACTAATAAGCAAAATGTACAAGGAACTTAAACTACTCTATAACAAGAAAACAAATAACCCTATCTAAAAATGGGCAAATAACTTTGTTATAGTTTGGCGGTTTCCCCATCCAAATCTAATCATGAATTGTAGCTCCCATAATTCCCACGTGTTGTTGGAGGGATCCAGTGGGAGACAATTGAATCATGGGGGCAGTTTCCCTCATACTGTTCTCATGGTAGTGAATAAGTCTCACGAGATCTGATGGTTTTATGAGGGGACACCTTTTTTGCTTGGTTCTCACTTCTCTCTTGGCTGCTGCCATGTAAGACATGACTTTTCTCTTTCTTTGCCGTCTGTCATGATTGTGAGGCCTCCCCAGCCACATGGAGCCATGAGTCCATTAAACTTCTTTTTCTTTATAAATTACCCTGTCTTGGGTATGTCTTTATTAGCAGCATGAGAACAGACTAATATAGACTTGAGTAAACATTTCTCATAAAAAGACATATGAATGGCCAACAGATACATGAGAAAAATACTCAACATCTCTAATCATTAGAAAAATGCAAATTAAGTTACAATGAGCTATCACTTGACATCTGTTAGTATGGCTACTATTAAAAGATGAAAAATAACAAGTGCTGGAGAGGATGCAAAAGAAAAATAATCCTTATTCCCAGTACTGATATTTTAAATTAATACAGCCATTGTGGAAAACAGTATGGAGGTTCCTCAGAAAACTAAAAATAGAATTACCGTATGATCCAATAATCTTACTACAGGGTATATAGCCAAAGGAACTGAAATAAGTATGTCAAAGACATGACTGCACTCTCATGTTCATTGCAGCATTATTCACAGTAGCCAAGATATGGAAACCACCTTAGTGTCCAACACAGAAGAATGGATTTTTAAAATGTGGTATGTGTATACATATATATCCATATGAAATACTAACACAATATACTATGCTATTATAGGATAGTATACTATAATACTAATAGTATATAGAATGCTATTCAGTCTTTAAGAAACTAAAATTTTGTTCATTTGTGACAACATGGATAAATCTAGAAGCCATTATAAGTAAAGTAAGCCAGGCACAGAGAGACAAATACAGTATGAACCCATGTGGAATCTAAAAAGTAAAATTCATAGAGGTTAAGTAGAATGGTGGCTACCAAAGGTTGGAGTTGGTGTGGCTGGAGAAAAGGGAGATATGAGTTAAGAGGTATAAAGTTTCAGTTAGGTAAGAGGAGTAAGTTCTGGTGTTCCATTGCGCAGCACAGTGACAACAGTTAATATGAAATGATGTACTGTATATTTCAAAATAGCTAACAGGGAGGATTTTAAATGATCTCACCACAAAGAAATTATATTTGAGGTGATGAATATGCTAATTAGCTTGATGCATTCCACAATGTATACATGTATGGAAACATCATATTGTACCCTATAAATATATACAATTATTATTTATCAATTAAAAACAAAATAAAACTTTAAAAATTAAGACCTTTCTAAATCAGTTTGTTTGCTCATTGTATAATAACCTGAAAAATGTTTAAATTAACATATAAACTGTATTACCATTTAAAATAATAAACAAGCTTTGAACAATATTTATTATTTTGTTTGCAGTTTCATGTATACCTGAGACAGGTATGAGAGTACTATTTATAAGTAAGAACAAAGACAATTCTAGAGCCAAATATATATATAGTTCTTCAATTATTCATTATTTTGAATTTTCTATTAATATCCCCTGGTCAGAGACATGAATACTTATGTTTGCTTAAATGTTTCATTTTGTTATTTTTATCAAAGCATTTAATGAAGACCAAAAAGTCACCAGGAAATAAAAAAACACATAAATAGTACTAGGAAGCCAAATATCATAATTTTACCCTGTATGTAAGTATTTCCACATTATGTCATCTCGCTGCCTCAAGATGGTGAGCATCATGAAAGAAACAATTTTTTCTCATTCTTGTTTGTATCCCTGAAGTTCCTACTCAAAGCCTTGGTCCTATAACTACTCATTCATTTGTTGAAAAGGGTTGAATTAAAACTCCCTGCGTTGTGAATTACCAGCTTTAAAAATGTATAAGATTTATCTGAAACTTTTAAAGTGAAAGCTCACTGAAACCATGGAGACTCTAAAATCTCAGTATATACAGTCCTCCCTGGGTATATGCAAGTGATTTGTTCTAGTACCCCCCACATATGCCAAACTCCAGGTATGCACAAGCCTCATAGTCGCCCACAGAACCCATATATACAAAAAATCAGCCCTCCGTAAATATGGATTTCACATTCCAGGAATACTGTACTTTCAATCTGTATTTGGTTCAAAAAGAAATTGTGTATAAATGGATCTCTGCAGTTCAGACCCGTGTTGTGCAAGGGTCAACTTTATATCCATATTGTTATTACAAAATTTATGCATGTTGTGTTTCCAATCTAAACCAATTGCATGATAGAAATAGGCTTTCTCCAAACAACCTATTCAGAACATATATCCATTTCAAAAATAACACCATTTTGGAAACCTGTGCAGTTAGACTCTACAACATACAAGAGATTAGCCAATCCAGAAGGAACCCACATCCACTTACAAACCTTTAACACAAATCAGCAGCAAAAAGGGCTGAAAAAAAAAAAACTGTAGCTAGTAACACAGTGGATCTCATGCAGATAAACTGGCATTACAGTTTCTGAAATATCACTGCAAAGTTTTGCTTCTCAACTTGGGGTCGACTCTCTCTATTAAGGTAACCTCATGGGAGATGTTATTACATCACCTTCTACGTGTGATCTGCACACGGTTATTAAAGACCTTTAAATCTAATGTGCAATGACCTCTTGAACATTTGCACTCACTGGTGGTTTCCAATTTCTTCTATGTCAAATGGTGACCTTAATATTCTATTTCATGGATATAACTACTAGAATTGAGCTGACATGATAAATGACTATTCTTGCAACCCCTGGTCATATTTTTTATTTTTCAGAGATTCAGTTGATAGTTTGGTCTTTTCTTCTCCTTTTAAATGGTGATTTCATTGTTAATTTGCATGCCCCTAAAAAAAAAAAAAGAAATGCTCAAATAATTTAATTAGCAGAAACAATCTCTGTATTTTGTGATTTAATACTATTGATCAGCTTCTTTGATTTTTTTTAAAATTAATTCAGGAATAGTGTATGCAACTGCATCTGCTCATGATATCTAAAAATCTATCATCTTCCATATTTGAAAATTTTATCATTTACCCTTTCCTACTCAGTCCTACAGCTCTCATGCTTGCCTCCAAATATTTTTAAATGCTCTTACGGTTTACATTACTATCTAGAATTTTTCCTCTAGGCCTGACTCTCACCATGGATTAGTTTCAACAGTGTATCTTTCTTATTGAAGTTTATCTTCCCACTACCTGATACTAAGCCTGCTATCCTCAAAGTGTCTGTCATTGGTTATTATCAGGGGCAAAATAGCTTTTTTCCTAGCTTATTACAATAAAAAAATAGAGATTCATCCCTTAGTTATATCCACATAAATTATCTATATTGCCTGAAGGATTATTTTTTATTTTCCAAGATTTTAGCAACCCTAATTAACATTTGATGTTTAGTCTATCTGTCAGTTAGCTTACTGAATTTGTAGCTATATGTTTGCCTAAGTAAACTTGATATGCAGCTACAAGATAGATGAGAGTTTTTAATGTTAATGTCTTTCCATTATTTAAAAACTAAAAGGCTAAATGCTACAGTCAAAAACTAAGCTATATCCTAAATTATTAATTTGTTTCCATTCAGATATCATCAATAGAACATTTTATAATCTGAAACAAATAGTATGTTGTATGATCATTAAATTTTACTGAAAGAGTTAAAGCATTTTCTAAGTGTCTTTTAAGTGTTTATGCCCTGTACACATCAAAAAATAGCTTATTTAGCTTGACAAACATAGCCAAATATGTATTTAAGCTATTTTGAAAATAATGGAAAAATATTATTAATAGCTGTTATCTCTTGTGGGGTATGGTGAATAGTAATTTAGGGCAGGTGAGAGCAAAGCAATTTAACATTTCCCTTGTTGGTTCCTTTGACCTACTAGTTTGGAGGTCTCTGCAACACCCTTGAGCTTTTTCCACAGGATAAAGCGATAGTTGCTAAGACTTTGCCAAAACGTTCTCTATTTCACTGTTAGGTTCTACTTGTATCTTTTTCAGGTATTTATTTTTAATATATTCCTGTCTCCAAGAAGAAAAAAATTATATGCACATATGCACACACACACATATTAGCTTCTTTAGACATCAACTACCTCTAGATTGAAGTTAGTATTGCACAAAGGAATGATGCCCTCGAAGACAATCTTGTGTAATAATCCATGTGTCTGATGGAAGAAGTATAGTTGGCCCTGGAACGACATGGGTTTGAACTGCATGGGTCCACTTATATGTGAACTTTTTACAATAGAAGTTATACCAAGTGTGCCTGCCTCTCCTTCCCCCACTTCTGCCTCCTGCACCTCTTCCACCCTGACACAGCAAGATCAAAACCTTCTCTTCCTCTACTTCCTCAGCCAACTCTACATGAAAATGATGTTTATTTATGGTCCACTTTCACTTAATGAGTAGTAAATATATTTTCTCTTTTTTGTGATTTTCTTAATAATATTTTCTTTTCTCTGGTTTACTTTATTATAAGAACACAGTATAGGCCAGGCACAATGATTACTGCCTGTAATTCCAGCACTTTTGGAGGCCTAGCAGGTGAATCTCTTAGGCCCAGAAGTTTGAGACCAGCCTGGGCAACATAGTGAAACCATGTCTCTACAAAAAAATAAAAATTAGCTGGGCACTGTGGTGTGCGTTTATAGTCCCAGCTACTTGGGAGCCTGAGGTGGGAGGATCACTTTAGCCCGGCAGGTCCAGGCTGCAGTGAGCCGTGATCGTGCCACTGCACTCATGGCACCTTATTTGAGACTGTCTCAAAAAAAGAAAAAAAGAAAAAAAGAACACAGTACATAATACATATAACACACAAAATAAATGTTAATTGGTTAACGTTATCGGTAAGTCTTCTGGTCAATAGTAATCTATTAGTAGTTAAGTTTTGGGAGAGTCAAGAGCTATATGCTGTTTCTTGACTGCATGGAGGATCAGAGCCCTTAACCCTCCAGTTGTTCAAGGTTATGATGCTTAATATTGAGTGTCAACTTGATTGGACTGAAGGATGCAAATTATTGGTGCTGGGTTTATCTGTGAGGGTATTGTCAGAGGAGATTAACATTTGAGTCAGTGGACCGGGAAAGGGAGACCCACCCTCAATCTGCAAGGGCACAATCTAATCAGCTGCCTGCGCAGCCAGAATAAAAAGCAGGCAGAAGAATGTGGAGAGATCAGACTGGCTTAGCCTCTGAGCCTACATCTTTCTCCCGAGCTGGATGCTTCCTGCCCTTCAACATCGTACTTTAAGTTCTTCAGCTTTGGGACTTGGAATGGCTTCCTTTCTTTTCAGCTTGCAGATAGCCTATTGTGGGACCTCATCTTGTGATTGTGTGAGTTAATACTCCTTAATAAACTGCCCTTTATATGTGTCCTATTAATTCTTCCCAGTAGAGAGCCCTGACTAATACAAAGGTCAACTGTATATGTTGCCTTTATTTTAAACTGTATAATTACTCATTGGCTTTGACTCACCAATGTGGTCACTTCCACTATCATGGTCATTTCCATCTTCAACCATTCCCAGTATTACTAGGCCAAGAGAATAAACTCATGTAAATACATTTTAAAGAAAATTAAATAAATTTCTACTGCAAATAATTAACTGGAGTAGACAACTTGATTTCATTTAGAATTTATCTAAATCTTTTTATGCTCTTGGTTTGTGGTTGACTGTATATTTTCACGACTCAGAGCCAAAACCAAACCAAAGCATGATCTGGTAAAGAGTTCTTAGAGCTATGAGTCAGCCAGCCTGGGTTACAGTTTTAGCTGTATCATTACCTAACTGTGAATTTAGATAATCCTTGAAATTTCCTGGTTCTCAGTTTCCTTCTCTTTAGTGTGAAGTGGTTGGACTGGGTTATCTGAGATTTCCTGGAAGCTCTGTGATTGAAAAAAATTCTAAACAGAATTGAGAAAAAGTGGTCTCATTTCAGTAAATTTCCATTCCCAACTTTGCCTTATTCCCTTCTGAGGTGCTAGATACATTTATACTGCCCAAAACCTATATGACATGTTACTTACTGCCTGACTCCTGACAAGTTTGCACTGGTGACCTCTGAGCCTAGGCGATTTCTGCTTTTTCTTGAAATAATCCAGACCACCAATAAATGCAACCAGAGATTAAAGTAATATCCAAATACCTAAGATTTCTTATGTCATCTCCTTGTTGGTCTCCTTCAGTTAACTCCAGTGTTCTGCAATAATATTAGCAGAAATTCACCATTTTCAATGATACTTTAAATTAGTATAATTTTTATAAAAAGTAACTTTATAATAAGAAACAAGAGGCTTTCCAATTTTTTCATAATCTTTAACCCAGAAATTCAACATCTAGGACTTTGTTTTAGCAAGTATCAGGAGAGGTGCATAAATATATAAATACAGTGCTATTCCTCAACAAGCAAGAGTAGGAATTGAAAACAACAGAATTATCCAAAATATGATATATGTTAAACAGTTATGACAGACTCTTATTGTCTTAGTGTGTTAGGGCTGCTAAGAAAAAATGTCATAAACCGGGTGGCTTATAAACAACATAAATTTATTTCTCACAGTTCTGGAGACTGGGGAGGCCAGGATCAAGGCATCAACAGATTTCACATCTGGTGAGGGCCTGTTTCCTGGTTCATAGACGGCATATTCACCCTGTGTCTTAAAATGGTGAAAGAGGCAAACTCCCTCAGGCCTTTTATATATATACAGACTCTAATCTTACTTATGAGGGCTCCACTTTCATGACCTAATTGTTCCTCAAAAGGCCCCACCTCCTAATACCATTGCCTTGAGGGTAAGGATTTCAACATATAAATTTTGCGGGAATACAGACATTTAAACCATAGCTCTGGGCTAAGATAGGATTTATTTTTCTATTCTTGGATGGTTTGTCTAAGATAGGCATTATCTCTTGATATTTGGTACAACACAGCAGTGAAAATGTGAGGAGCTTTTGTGTTTGTATTTGGTTTTGTTTATGTTCTTGAAGTTAGTTTTCTTGTTTTTGTGGGTAGATTTGTGTGTGTGTGTGTAGCTAGATTTGTTAATATAAACTTTTTATTTTGTGATAGGTGTAGATTCATCTGTACTTGTAAGAAATAATACAAAAAGATACCATGTACTCAGTTTCCCCAGTGGTAACATCTTGCAAACTATAGTACAATATCACAACCAGGATATTGACATGGATACAATCAAGACACAAAACAATTCTATCATGGCAAGGATCCCTCATGTTTCTCCTTTATAGCCATACCCACTTCACTCTGATACCACAGGCTCCTTAATACCTGACAACCACTAACCTTTTTTTCATTTCCACAATTTTGTCATTTCAAGATTGCTATATAAGTAGATTCATGTAGTATATAAATTAAGGGGATTGGCTTTTTCACTCCATGTACTGCTCTTGAAATTTTCCATGTTGTTGTAAGTATGATGTGTTCCTTTCTTTTCTTTTCCTTTCTTTTTTTTTTTTGAGATGGAGTCTCGCTCTGTCACCCAGGCTGGAGTGCAGTGGTGCCATCTTGGCTCACTGCAACCTCCGCCTCCCGGGTTCAGGCCATTCTCCTGCCTCAGCCTCCCAAGTAGTTGGGACTACAGGAGCCTGCCACCATGCCTGGCTAATTTTGTTTTTGTATTTTTAGTAGAGACGGAGTTTTACCGTGTTAGCCAGGATGGTCCCGATCTCCTGACCTGGTGATCCGCCTGCCTCGGCCTCCCAAAGTGCTGGGATTACAGGCATGAGCCACCACCTCCGGCCCCATCATATGTTCCTTTCTATTGCTGAGTAGTATCCCATGATATGGACGTACACTGGTTTAACTGTTGAAGGATATCTGGGTTGTTTCCAGTTTGGGGCTATTATGAACAAAACTACTATAAACATTCATTTACAGATTGTTGTGTGAATACAAAGTTTCATTAATCTGGGATTAAAGCTCAGGAGTGCAATTATTGGGTCAATATGTTAGTTGTATATTTCAGATTTTTTTTAAGGAATTGCCAAATTGTTTTCCAGAGTAACTATATCATTTTATATTTTAATCAGCAATATAGAAGTTACCCAGTTTCTACACATCCCTGCAAATATTTAGTACTGTCACTATTCTTTGTTTTATCTATTCTGATGGATATGTAGTGATATCTCATTCTGGTTTTAATTTGCATTTTTCTTATAGATAATAATGCTGAACATATATTCATATGCTTATTTGCAATCTGAATGTTCTCTTGGTTAAATGTTTCTTCATAGAATTTGCCCATTTTTCTAATTGGATTTCTTTACCATTAACTTTTTAAAGTTCTTTATTCTAGATATAAGTCCTTTGCAGAATATGCATGTAGTTTTAAAATATTCTTGTCCACCTGTAACTTGTCATTCTGTTCTTTTAACAGGTTCTTTTGCAGAGTAAACATTTTTATTTAATGAAGCCAAATTTATCAGTTTTTTCTTTAATGATTGGTGCTTTTGGTGTCAAGTCTAAGAACTCACAGCCTAGCCATATATCTCAAATATTTTTCTCACATTTTTTTCCTCAAAATTGTATAGTGCTACAATTTACATTTGTCTGTAATCTATTTTGAATTAATGTTTGTATAAGCAAGTGAGACTTATGTTGCAGTTCATTTTTTTACCTATGTATTTCTAATATATATTGTATTGTATAATAAGGAATTTGGCTAGCTTTGTCCCTGGTTTCTGAAAGGTGCTCTCTAAACATTCAGAATTTTCAGAATGATAAGAGTCTGTTATTCATGGTGGGCCCTAATAGTTTATGCTAGTAAGGTGACTCGTGGGCTCCTAGATAGTTTCAGAATGAAAACTGATCATGCTGGAAATACCAATCTGCAATTAGGGAATTGAGGCTTTGAGCGATGTGATACTAGTCTGTCCTTTCAAACTCCAAGGAAGGAGGGGGACTGGAGATTGACTTCAATCATGTGGTCAATGATTCAATCAATCATGAATCAATTGATTCATCAATCAATTATTGAGGAAAAACTCTAGACACCCAAAGCTCCATGAGCACCGTGGTTGGTGATACACATCCATGTGCCAGGAGGAGTGACATCCCAAGGGCACTGAAGCTTCACATATGGGACTCTCCTAAACCTTGCCCTATTTGTCTCTTTATTTGACTTGTCCTGATTTATATCCTTTAGAATAAAACTCTAATAAAAATATTGCACTTGCCTGAGTTCTGTGATTTGTTCTAGCAAATTACCAAACCTGAGGAGTTAATGGGCACCCCTGAATGGATTTGCAGCCATTTGGTCAGAATTGCAGGTAGCCTAGGAGCCCTGGATTTTGTTGCTGATATCTGAAGTGAGGGGAGTTTTGTGGAGGACTGTGACACTATCTCTTTGATTTGACCTGAATTTGGGTAGTGTCAGGATTGCATTGCAAATTGCTATGGCACCATTTTTTGAAAAAAGTATCTTTTCTTCATTGAATAGCTTTTGCACTTTTGTCAAAAATAAGTTGAGCATATTTGTATAGGTCTAGTTTTGGATTCTCTGTTCCATTGCATTGATTCATGTGTTTCTTCCTTCACCAATACCACACAATCTTGTTTGCTATAGCTATGTAAGCATTGAAATACTCCCACTTTATTCTATTTTTCAAAATTGCTTTAGCTAATTCATTTGCCTTTGCATAATAATTTTAGAATAATCTCGTCTATATTTACACAAAAAATCTTGCTGGGATTTTTATAAGAATTGCATTAAACATAAATATCAATTTGGGGAGAATTGACATCATTACGGTGTGGAGTCTTCCAATCCATAAACATGGTATAGCTCTCCATTTATTTATATCTTTACTTAAATTTTCATCAGTGTTGTGTAGTTTTCAGCATACAATCCTAAATATATTTTGTTAGTTTTAGTTTTATACCTATTTCATTTTTTGAGCAATTGTAAGTGGTATTATATTATAAATTTTGGTGTTCACATGTTCATTGCAAGTAGTGAAAATATAATTGATTTTTGTATGCTATCTTACATCCTTTGCTGAACTTGATGAACTCAGGTTTTTGTTGTTGTTTTGTTTTTGTTTTTATGAATTGTTTGTCTAGTGATTTTCTAGATTCCTTGGGATTTTCTACATGATTTTAATTATGTCATCTGAAAATAGGAACTATTTTATATCTTCCTTTCTAATCTGTGCGACTTTTATTTGCTTTTCTTGCCTTAATGCACAGAAATTCTACCACTATGTTGAATAATAGTAACGGGAGGGAACATCCTTGCTTGATTGTCTACCTTTGGAGGAAAGAGTCTTTCACTATTAAATACAATGTTAGCTGAAGGTTTTTCGTAGATGCTCTTTATCAAGTTGAAGTTCCCCTCTAGTTCTAACTTCCTGAGAGTTTTTATCATGAATGGATGTTGGCTTTGGTCAAATGGTTTTTCTGCATGTGTTGATACGGTTACGGTAGTTTTCTTCTTTTAGTTTCTTAACATGGATTACATTGATTAATTTTTTAACATTAAACCAGTTTTGCATCCTCTCAGTAAACTCCTCTTGGTCAAGGTTATCATTTTTAGATATTGCTAAATCCCATTTGCTAGTACTTCTTGAGAATTTTTACTTGTATAACTTTCGAGATATATTGGCCTATATTTCTTCTAATGTACTATGTTTGGTTTGATGTCAGGGTAATTCTAGCTTCCTGAAATGAATTGGGAATTGTTTCTTCCTCCTCTGTTTTCTGGAAGAAATTGTACGTGGTTGTTACTGATTCTTTAAAATTTAGAAGAATTCTTTACTCTGGAGAACTCCAATCTGGGCTTGGAGATTTCTTTCAAGAGAGTATTTTAATAACAAATTCTATTTCCTTAGTATTTACAATGCTATTCAAATTATCTATTTCAAATTGAATGAATTGTGGTAGCTTATGATTTTTGAAGAATTAGTCATTTTATCTAAATTGTCAAATTTATGTATGTAGAGTTGTTTTTGGTACTCTCTTATTAAACTTTTAATGTCTTCAGTATCTGTAGTGATACTCCCTATTTCTTTTCTGATATTGGCATTTTGTGTCTTCTTTCTTTTTCACTCTTCTTCCAAGAGTTTTGTCAGTTTTATCAATCTTTTTAAATAGCAAGACTTTTTTATTTCATTGATATTCCCTGTTGTTTTTCTATTTTCAATGTCATTGATTCCTGCTCTTCATTTTATTCTTTTCCATCTGTTTGGGGTTCATTTTGCTCTTGTTTTTCTCGAGTCTTGAGGTGAAAATTCAGTTCATTGGTTTGAAACATTTTTCCTTTTCTAATGAATGCATTGTTGGCTATTTTTATTTGGGTTTATGTTGTTGTTGTTTTCTGTTTTCTTTTTCCTGTCTTCCTGCGGATTGTTTATACATTTTATTAGATTCCATTCTGATTCATTTATAGTGTTTTGGGGTGTGTATCTTCGCATAGGTTTTTTTAGTGGTTATTGTAGGTATTGGTAGATAGACATAGAGATACATATAGATAAGTTATACATAATCACAGACTACTAGTGTCCTCATTTTATCAGACTGAGTGAAGTGTAGAAATCTTACTTCCCTCTACATCTCTTTATTCTGTTCAATAATATAATTGTATTATATATTTCTTCTATATATTTAGAACCACACATTATAGTTTTATTAAAATTTTTGCTTCAATAATCAATTTAGAAAGCCCAAGAGGAAAATGATAGTCTATTGTGTTGACCAATATTTTTGCTTACAGTGTTTTTTTGCTTTTTCTGATGTTCCAAGTCTGCTTCTTCAGCACCAAATCTTGGATATATGAAGTAAAACTAAAACATGAAGAACTCACCACTTTGTCTTGACTTGGGTCCCAAAGTCTCTAGCTGACTTGCCCTCTTTTCTCTACCTTTAAGAGTGTTTTGTTTATTTGATGTGTAATGTCCAGGATCTTTAGCTGTACTTAGCCCGAGAAAAAAGGAAACGTATATCTCCTTTTTCCTCCCAGAAGCTGAATTCCTCTATTTAGATTTTTAACAACCATTATAATTGTATTAACAGTGCTGATATAACTATTTAGGTGATAGGTGGTAAACAGCATAAAGTCTAGAGTCAAATTAGGTCCAAATGTCAGATACGCTACTTGATTGCCTGTCAGAATTAATCTTGGGTTAGTTTCTTAAGCTTTCTACCTCAATTGTATAATGTAAAGAAAATGACAATTTTAGGATCTACAACATAAGATTAGTGTGAGGGTCTTGAATGTAAACTTTTAGAAAATAGGCTGGATATAGGAAGTGCCCAGTAAATTTTACTACTATTTTAGCTATTCTTACAATTATTAATTTAATGAAATTCATTTATTGCATATTATATGATCAATTTTTATAAGTGTAACATTTTTGCTTAGGAAAAAAGTTGTGCTTTCTGATTGTTGGATCCATGGTTCTGTGTATGTCTACTGTATTACACTTGCTAATTTTGTTGCTGAAATCTGTTGCATAATTTTATTCTGTTAATTTAATGGTTACAGACAGAAACATGTTAAATTTTCCCATTATGCTAGTGATTTGCTTTTTGTAATTATTTTGGTTTTTATTTATAAGTTTTACAACTATGTTACTGTATGAACAGTACAAAAGACTTTAAAATTATGCATTGGCTATGTTTCCCCTAATATAACTTTTTGCCTTAAAGCAGTTCTCTACCACCTCTCCACTGAAAATGACTGGTATAGTTTTGTATCCTTTTTTTTCACTTAGATTTTTAGATATATAACATAAACAGTTTCTGGGAAACATTATTTTAACAACTATGTCAATTTTCATTGTTCAGATTTACCATATTATTTGAAATTCCCCAATTGCTAAACATTAGCGTCATTCGTATTTTTTATCTTATATTTTATTATATATCATGCTGATATTTTAGTATTACCTGTAAATGATATGGCTCAGAGGCCAAGAAAACTTTTCTCTAAAAAGACAGATAGGAAATATTATAGGCTTTATAGGCTACATGGTCTCTGTTGAAGCTGTCCAATTCTACCATTGTAGCACAAAAGCTGCAGGGGAACTTCATAAATGAGTGAGCATGACTATGTTAAAATAAAATCTTATTTATAAATACAGGCAATGAGTCAGATTTTTCCCATAGGCTAATGATTATGACTCCTGATACACCTGTCTACTAAGTCATCTAAACATAATTAAAACAAAATATATAGTGCAGCAAAATTTAAATTCAAACTATATTAATATCAGTGCATTCTTTGATACTTTACATTTTTCCCACAGTTACTGACTTTGAATTCTTTATCCAATTTTGTATATGACATACTGATACAGTTTGGCTCTGTGTCCCTATCCAAATCTCATCTTGAATTGTAATCCCCACGTATTGAGGGGAGGGAGACTCTTGGATCATGAGGGTGATTTAACCATGCCATTCTCTGCTAGTGAGTGAGATCTTATGAGATGTGATGGTTTTGCAAGTGTTTGACAGTTCCTCTTTCACAAACTCTCTCTCCTGCTGCCTTGTGAAGAAGGTACCTGCATAAGGTGTAAGGAAGGGATCCAGTTTCAGCTTTCTACATATGGCCAGCCAGTTTTCCCAGCACCATTTATTAAATAGGGAATCCTTTCCCCATTGCTTGTTTTTCTCAGGTTTGTCAAAGATCAGATAGTTGTAGATATGCGGCATTATTTCTGAGGGCTCTGTTCTGTTCCATTGATCTATATCTCTGTTTTGGTACCAGTACCATGCTGTTTTGGTTACTGTAGCCTTGTAGTATAGTTTGAAGTCAGGTAGTGTGATGCCTCCAGCTTTGTTCTTTTGGCTTAGGATTGACTTGGTGATGCGGGCTCTTTTTTGGTTCCATATGAACTTTAAAGTAGTTTTTTCCAATTCTGTGAAGAAAAACATTGGTAGCTTGATGGGGATGGCATTGAATCTGTAAATTACCTTGGGCAGTATGGCCATTTTCATGATATTGATTCTTCCTACCCATGAGCATGGAGTGTTCTTCCATTTGTTTGTATCCTCTTTTATTTCATTGAGCAGTGGTTTGTTGTTCTCCTTGAAGAGGTCCTTCATGTCCCTTGTAAGTTGGATTCCTAGGTATTTTATTCTCTTTGAAGCAATTGTGAATGGGAGTTCACTCATGATTTGGCTCTCTGTTTGTCTGTTATTGGTGTGTAAGAATGCTTGTGAATTTTGTACATTGACTTTTTATCCTGAGACTTTGCTGAAGTTGCTTATCAGCTTAAGGAGATTTTCGGCTGAGATGATGGGGTTTTCTAGATATACAATCATGTCATCTGCAAACAGGGACAATTTGACTTCCTCTTTTCCTAATTGAATACCCTTTATTTTCTTCTCCTGCCTAATTGCCCTGGCCAGAACTTCCAACACTATGTTGAATAGGAGTGGTGAGAGAGGGCATCCCTGTCTTGTGCCACTTTTCAAAGGGAATGCTTCCAGTTTTTGCCCATTCAGTATGATATTGGCTGTGGGTTTGTCATAGGTAGCTCTCATTATTTTGAGATATGTCCCATCAATACCTAATTTATTGAGAGTTTTTAGCATGAAGCATTGTTGAATTTTGTCAAAGGCCTTTTCTGCATCTTTTGAGATAATCATGTGGTTTTTGTCTTTGATTCTGTTTATATGCTGGACTACATTTACTGATTTGCATATATTGAAACAGCCTTGCATCCCAGGGATGAAGCCCACTTGATCATGGTGGATAAGCTTTTTGATGTGCTGCGGGATTCGGTTTGCCAGTATTTTATTGAGGATTTTTGCATCAATGTTCATCAGGGATATTGGTCTAAAACTCTCTTTTTTGGTTGTGTCTCTGCCCGGCTTTGGTATCAGGATGATGCTGGCCTCATAAAATGAGTTAGGGAGGATTCCCTCTTTTTCTATTGATTGGAATAGTTTCAGAAGGAATGGTACCAGTTCCTCCTTGTAACTCTGGTAGAATTCGGCTGTGAATCCATCTGGTCCTGGACCCCTTTTGTTGCTAAGCTATTGATTATTGCCACAATTTCAGATCCTGTTATTGGTCTATTCAGAGATTCAACTTCTTCCTGGTTTAGTCTTGGGAGAGTGTATGTGTCGAGGAATTTATCCATTTCTTCTAGATTTTCTAGTTTATTTGCATAGAGGTGTTTGTAGTATTCTCTGATGGTAGTTTATTTCTGTGGGATCGGTGGTGATATCCTCTTTATCATTTTTTATTGCATGTATTTGATTCTTCTCTCTTTTTTTCTTTATTAATCTTGCTAGCAGTCTATCAATTTTGTTGATCCTTTCAAAAAACCACCTCCTGGATTCATTAATTTTTTGAAGGGTTTTTTTGTGTCTCTATTTCCTTCAGTTCTGCTCTGATTTTAGTTATTTCTTGCCTTCTGGTAGCTTTTGAATGTGTTTGTTCTTGCTTTTCTAGTTCTTTTAACTGTGATGTTAGGGTGTCAATTTTGGATCTTTCCTGCTTTCTCTTGTGGGCATTTAGTGCTATAAATTTCCCTCTACACACTGCTTTGAATGTGTCCCAGAGATTCTGGTATGTTGTGTGTTTGTTCTCGTTGGTTTCAAAGAACATCTTTATTTCTGCCTTCATTTCGTTATGTACCCAGTAGTCATTCAGGAGCAGGTTGTTCAGTTTCCATGTAGTAGAGTGGTTTTGAGTTAGTTTCTTAATCCTGAGTTCTAGTTTGATTGCACTGTGGTCTGAGAGACAGTTTGTTATAATTTCTGTTCTTTTACATTTGCTGAGGAGAGCTTTACGGATTAAAGACTGAAACGTTAGACCTAAAACCATAAAAACCCTAGAGGAAAACCTAGGCTTTACCATTCAGGACATAGGCATGGGCAAGGACTTCATGTCTAAAACACCAAAAGCAATGGCAACAAAAGACAAAATTGACAAATGGGATCTAATTAAACTAAAGAGCTTCTGCACAGCAAAAGAAACTACCATCAGAGTGAACAGGCAACCCTCAAAATGGGAGAAAATTTTTGCAACCTACTCATCTGACAAAGGGCTAATATCCAGAATCTACAATGAACTCAAACAAATTTACAACAAAAAAACAAACAACCCCATCAAAAAGTGGGCGAAGGACATGAACAACACTTCTCAAAAGAAGACATTTATGCAGCCAAAAAACACATGAAAAAATGCTCACCATCACTGGCCATCAGAGAAATGCAAATCAAAACCACAATGAGATACCATCTCACACCAGTTAGAATGGCAATCATTAAAAAGTCAGGAAACAACAGGTGCTGGAGAGGATGTGGAGAAATAGGAACCCTTTTACACTGTTGGTGGGACTGTAAACTAGTTCAACCATTGTGGAAGTCAGTGTGGTGATTCCTCAGGGATCTAGAACTAGAAATACCATTTGACCCAGCCATCCCATTACTGGGTATATACCCAAAAGACTATAAATCATGCTGCTATAAAGACACATGCACACGTATGTTTATTGCGGCACTATTCACAATAGCAAAGACTTGGAACCAATCCAAATGTCCAACAATGATAGACTGGATTAAGAAAATGTGGCACATATACACCATGGAATACTATGTAGCCATAAAAAATGATGAGTTCATGTCCTTTTTAGGGACGTGGATGAAATTGGAAATCATCATTCTCAGTAAACTATCGCAAGGACAAAAAACCAAACACCGCATGTTCTCACTCATAGGTGGGAATTGTACAATGAGAACACATGGACACAGGAAGGGGAACATCACACTCTGGGGACTGTTGTGGGGTGGGGGTAGGGGGTAGGGATAGCATTAGGAGATATACCTAATGCTAAATGACGAGTTCATGGGTGCAGCACACCAGCATGGCACATGTACACATATGTAACTAACCTGCACATTGTGCACATGTACCCTAAAAGTATAATAATAATAATAATAATAAAAAAAAAGGTAACTGCTTCCCCTTCCACCATGACTGTAATTTTCCTGAGGCCTTCCCAGCCATGTGGAACTGTGAGTCAATTAAACCTCTTTCCTTTATAAATTACTCAGTCTCAGGGAAGTTCTTTATAGCAGTGTGAAAATGGACTAATACACATACATTTGGGTTATATTTTTTGGTCCACTCTGAAAAATCTGTCTTTTAACTGGCACATTTAGAATACTGATGTTCAAAGCAATTCTTGATGTAGTTGGATTAATATGTATCATATTTTTTACTGTTTTCTATTTGCTTCCCTTGTTCTTTGTTTCTGTTTGGGTCCTCTGCTCTTTTTCTGCTTCCTGAGGTTTCAATTGAGCATTTTGTGATTCCATTTTTTCTTCTTTTTATCTATCAGTTATACTTTATCTTTTTACTGATTGCCCGAGAGTTTGCAATACATTTACAGCTAACCCATGTTCACATTAAATATATCACTATACCTCTTAATAGGTAGTGTAAGTAGCTGTTAATAAAAAATAATTCTAATTCCTCCCTACCATCCCTTATATCTTTGCTGTCCATCTATTTGACTTGTATATAGGCATTCATAAGCAGCACACACACACACACACATATACACACACACACAAGTCATATATATGGGCATACATAAGCACATACATTGTTACTATTTCAAGAAAATTGTTATCTGCCAGATCAATTAAGAATAAGAAAAATCAAATATTTTGTTTTACCTTCATTTATTCCTTTTCCAATGTTCATTCTCTGTTTATATAGATCTGAGTTTTTTATCGATATCACTTTCCTTCCCTCTGAAGAACTTTAACCATTTTATACGACATGTCTACTGGCAACAAAATCCCTCAATTTTTGTTTGTCTGAGAAAGTCTTCATTTCTCTGTCACTTTGAAAAATAAAATTTCGGAGAAGGAGCCAAGATGGCCGAATAGGAAAAGCTCCAGTCTACAGCTCCCAGCGTGAGCGACGCAGAAGATGGTGATTTCTGCATTTCCATCTGAGGTACCGGGTTCACCTCACTAGGGAGTGCCAGACAGTGGGCGCAGATCAGTGGGTGCGCACACCGTGCGCGAGCCGAAGTAGGGTGAGGCATTGCCTCACTTGGGAAGCGCAAGGGGTCAGGGAGTTCCCTTTCCGAGTCAAAGAAAGGGGTGACGGACGGCACCTGGAAAATCGGGTCGCTCCCACCCGAATACTGCGCTTTTCTGACGGGCTTGAAAAATGGCGAACCACGAGATTATATCCCGCACCTGGCTCGGAGGGTCCTACGCCCACGGAGTCTCGCTGATTGCTAGCACAGCAGTCTGAGATCAAACCGCAAGGCGGAAGCGAGGCTGGGGGAGGGGCGCCCGCCATTGCGCAGGCTTTCTTAGGTAAACAAAGCAGCCTGAAAGCTCCAACTGGGCGGAGCCCACCACAGCTCACAGAGGCAGGCGCTCCACCTCTGGGGGCAGGGCACAGACAAACAAAAAGACAGCAGTAACCTCTGCAGACTTAAATGTCCCTGTCTGACAGCTTTGAAGAGAGCAGTGGTTCTCCCACCACACAGCTGGAGATCTGAGAACGGGCAGACTGCCTCCTCAAGTGGGTCCCTGACCCCTGACCCCCTAGCAGCCTAACTGGGAGGCACCCCCCAGCAGGGGCACAGTGACACCTCACACGGCAGGGTATTCCAACAGACCTGCAGCTGAGGGTCCTGTCTGTTACAAGGAAAACTAACAAACAGAAAGGACATCCACACCAAAAACCCCTCTCTACATCACCATCATCAAAGACCAAAAGTAGATAAAACCACAAAGATGGGGAAAAAACAGAACAGAAAAACTGGAAACTCTAAAAAGCAGAGCGCCTCTCCTCCTCCAAAGGAACGCAGTTCCTCAACAGCAATGGAACAAAGCTGGATGGAGAATGACTTTGACGAGCTGAGAGAAGAAGGCTTCAGAGGATCAAATTACTCTGAGCTATGGGAGGACATTCAAACCAAAGGCAAAGAAGTTGAAAACTTTGAAAAAAATTTAGAAGAATGTATAACTAGAATAACCAATACAGAGAAGTGCTTAAAGGAGCTGATGGAGCTGAAAACCAAGGCTCAAGAACTACGTGAAGAATGCAGAAGCCTCAGGAGCCGATGCGATCAACTGGAAGAAAGGGTATCAGCGATGGAAGATGAAATGAATGAAATGAAACGAGAAGGGAAGTTTAGAGAAAAAAGATTAAAAAGAAATGAGCAAAGCCTCCAAGAAATATGGGACTATGTGAAAAGACCAAATCTACGTCTGATTGGTGTACCTGAAAGTGATGGGGAGAATGGAACCAAGTTGGAAAACACTCTGCAGGATATTATCCAGGAGAACTTCCCCAATCTAGCAAGGCAGGCCAACCTTCAGATTCAGGAAATACAGAGAACGCCACAAAGATACTCCTCTAGAAGAGCAACTCCAAGACACATAATTGTCAGATTCACCAAAGTTGAAATGAAGGAAAAAATGTTAAGGGCAGCCAGAGAGAAAGGTCGGGTTACCCTCAAAGGGAAGCCCATCAGACTAACAGCGGATCTCTCGGCAGAAACCCTACAAGCCAGAAGAGAGTGGGGGCCAATATTCAACATTCTTAAAGAAAAGAATTTTCAACCCAGAATTTCATATCCAGCCAAACTAAGCTTCATAAGCAAAGGAGAAATAAAATACTTTACAGATAAGCAAATGCTGAGAGATTTTGTCACCACCAGGCCTGCCGTACAAGAGCTCCTGAAGGAAGCGCTAAACATGGAAAGGAACAACCGGTACCAGCCGGTGCAAAATCATGCCAAAATTTAAAGACCATCCAGACTAGGAAGAAACTGCATCAACTAACGAGCAAAATCACCAGCTAACATCATAATGACAGGATCAAATTCACACATAAGAATATCAACTTTAAATGTAAATGGACTAATTGCTCCAATTAAAAGACACAGACTGGCAAATTGGATAAAGAGTCAAGACCCATCAGTGTGCTGTATTCAGGAAACCCATCTCACATGCAGAGACACACATAGGCTCAAAATAAAAGGATGGAGGAAGATCTACCAAGCCAATGGAAAACAAAAAAAGGCAGGGGTTGCAATCCTAGTCTCTGATAAAACAGACTTTAAACCAACAAAGATCAAAAGAGACAAAGAAGGCCATTACATAATGGTAAAGGGATCAATTCAACAAGAAGAGCTAACTATCCTAAATATATATGCACCCAATACAGGAGCACCCAGATACATAAAGCAAGTCCTGAGTGACCTACAAAGAGACTTAGA
The DNA here is from genome assembly GCF_000001405.40 of Homo sapiens. Lineage (NCBI taxonomy): Eukaryota > Metazoa > Chordata > Mammalia > Primates > Hominidae > Homo > Homo sapiens. The sequence continues at coordinate 113,745,285 of NC_000007.14, forward strand.
CTCCCACACATTAATAATGGGAGACTTTAACACCCCACTGTCAACATTAGACAGATCAATGAGACAGAAAGTCAACAAGGATACCCAGGAATTGAACTCAGCTCTGCACCAAGCGGACCTAATAGACATCTACAGAACTCTCTACCCCAAATCAACAGAATATACATTTTTTTCAGCACCACACCACACTTATTCCAAAATTGACCACATACTTGGAAGTAAAGCTCTCCTCAGCAAATGTAAAAGAGCAGAAATTATAACAAACTATCTCTCAGACCACAGTGCCATCAAACTAGAACTCAGGATTAAGAATCTCACTCAGAACTGCTCAACTACATGGAAACTGAACAACCTGCTCCTGAATGACTACTGGGTACATAATGAAATGAAGGCAGAAATAAAGATGTTCTTTGAAGCCAACGAGAACAAAGACCCCACATACCAGAATCTCTGGGACGCATTCAAAGCAGTGTGTAGAGGGAAATTTATAGCACTAAATTCCAACAAGAGAAAGCAGGAAAGATCCAAAATTGACACCCTAACATCACAATTAAAAGAACTAGAAAAGCAAGAGCAAACACATTCAAAAGCTAGCAGAAGGCAAGAAATAACTAAAATCAGAGCAGAACTGAAGGAAATAGAGACACAAAAAAACCCTTCAAAAAATTAATGAATCCAGGAGGTGGTTTTTTGAAAGGATCAACAAAATTGATAGACCGCTAGCAAGACTAATAAAGAAAAAAAGAGAGAAGAATCAAATAGACGCAATAAAAAATGATAAAGGGGATATCACCACCGATCCCACAGAAATACAAACTACCATCAGAGAATACTACAAACACCTCTACACAAATAAACTAGAAAATCTAGAAGAAATGGATAAATTCCTCGACACGTACACTCTCTCCCAAGACTAAACCAGGAAGAAGTTGAATCTCTGAATAGACCAATAACAGGATCTGAAATTGTGGCAATAATCAATAGCTTACCAACCAAAAAGAGTCCAGAACCAGATGGATTCACAGCCAAATTCTACCAGAGTTACAAGGAGGAACTGGTACCATTCCTTCTGAAACTATTCCAATCAATAGAAAAAGAGGGAATCCTCCCTAACTCATTTTATGAGGCCAGCATCATTCTGATACCAAAGCCAGGCAGAGACACAACCAAAAAAGAGAATTTTAGACCAATATCCTTGATGAACATTGATGCAAAAATCCTCAATAAAATACTGGCAAACTGAATCCCACAGCACATCAAAAAGCTTATCCACCATGATCAAGTGGGCTTCATCCCTGGGATGCAAGGCTGGTTCAATATACGCAAATCAATAAATGTAATCTAGCATATAAACAGAGCCACAGACAAAAGCCACATGATTATCTCAATAGATGCAGAAAAGGCCTTTGACAAAATTCAACAACCCTTCATGCTAAAAACTCTCAATAAATTAGGTATTGATGGGACGTATCTCAAAATAATAAGAGCTATCTATGACAAACCCACAGCCAATATCATACTGAATGGGCAAAACCTGGAAGCATTCCCTTTGAAAACTGGCACAAGACAGGGATGCCCTCTCTCACCACTCCTATTCAACATAGTGTTGGAAGTTCTGGCCAGGGCAATTAGGCAGGAGAAGGAAATAAAGGGTATTCAATTAGGAAAAGAGGAAGTCAAATTGTCCCTGTTTGCAGATGACATGATTGTATATCTAGAAAACCCCATCATCTCAGCCGAAAATCTCCTTAAGCTGATAAGCAACTTCAGCAAAGTCTCAGGATAAAAAAATCAATGTACAAAAATCACAAGCATTCTTACACACCAATAACAGACAAACAGAGAGCCAAATCATGAGTGAACTCCCATTCACAATTGCTTCAAAGAGAATAAAATACTTAGGAATCCAACTTAAAGGGATGTGAAGGACCTCTTCAAGGAGAACTACAAACTACTGCTCAAGGAAATAAAAGAGGACACAAACAAATGGAAGAACATTCCATGCTCATGGGTAGGAAGAATCAATATCATGAAAATGGCCATACTGCCCAAGGTAATTTACAGATTCAATGCCATCCCCATCAAGCTACCAATGTCTTTCTTCACAGAATTGGAAAAAACTACTTTAAAGTTCATATGGAACCAAAAAAGAGCCCGCATCACCAAGTCAATCCTAAGCCAAAAGAACAAAGCTGGAGGCATCATGCTACCTGACATCAAACTATACTACAAGGCTACAGTAACCAAAACAGCATGGTACTGGTACCAAAACAGAGATACAGACCAATGGAACAGAACAGAGCCCTGAGAAATAATGCCACATATCTAAAACTATCTGATCTTTGACAAACCTGACAAAAACAAGCAACGGGGAAAGGATTCCCTGTTTAATAAATGGTGCTGGGAAAACTGGCTAGCCATATGTAGAAAGCTGAAACTGGATCCCTTCCTTACACCTTATACAAAAATCAATTGAAGATGGATTAAAGACTTAAACGTTAGACCTAAAACCATAAAAACCCTAGAAGAAAACCTAGGCTTTACCATTCAGGACATAGGCATGGGCAAGGACTTCATGTCTAAAACACCAAAAGCAATGGCAACAAAAGACAAAATTGACCAATGGGATCTAATTAAACCAAAGAGCTTCTGCACAGCAAAAGAAACTACCATCAGAGTGAACAGGCAACCTACAAAATGGGAGAAAATTTTCGCAACCTACTCATCTGACAAAGGGCTAATATCCAGAATCTACATTGAACTCAAACAAATTTACAAGAAAAAAACAAACAACCCCATCAAAAAGTGGGCGAAGGACATGAATAGACACTTCTCAAAAGAAGACATTTATGCAGCCAAAAAACACATGAAAAAATGTTCATCATCACTGGCCATCAGAGAAATGCAAATCAAAACCACAATGAGATACCATCTCACACCAGTTAGAACGGCAATCATTAAAAAGTCAGGAAACAACAGGTGCTGGAGAGGATGTGGAGAAATAGGAACACTTTTACACTGTTGGTGGGACTGTAAACTAGTTCAACCATTGTGGAAATCAGTGTGGCCATTCCTCAGGGATCTAGAACTGGAAGTACCATTTGACCCAGCCATCCCATTACTGGGAATGTACCCAAAGGACTATAAATCATGCTGCTATAAAGACACATGCACATGTATGTTTATTGCGGCATTATTCACAATACCGAAGACTTGGAACCAACCCAAATGTCCAACAATGATAGACTGGATTAAGAAAATGTGGCACATATACACCATGGAATACTATGCAGCCATAAAAAAGGATGAGTTCACGTCCTTTGTAGGGACATGGATGAAATTGGAAGTCATCATTCTCAGTAAACTATCGCAAGAACAAAAAACCAAACACCATATATTCTCAGTCATAGGTGGGAATTGAACAATGAAATCACATGGACACAGGAAGGGGAATATCACACTCTGGGGACAGTTGTGGGGTGGGGCGTGGGGGGAGGGATAGCATTGGGAGATATACCTAATGCTAGATGACGAGTTGGTGGGTACAGCGCACCAGCATGGCATATGTATACATATGTAACTAACCTGCACAATGTGCACATGTACCCTAAAACTTTAATAAAATAATAATAATAATAATAATAATAATAAAAGTTAAGCAAATTTTGAAGAAAAAAAAAGAAAAAGAAAATTTCAGGGTACAAAATTCTAGGTTGGTGGGTTTTTTTGCTCAACGCTTTAAATATTTCACTCTACTTTTTTCTTGCTTGCATGGTTTCTGAGAAGTTCGATGTAATACCTACCTTTGCTCCTCTATAGGTAAAGTGTTTATTTCCTCTGGCTTTTTTTTTTCAGGATTTTCTTTATCTTTGATTTTGTGTAGTTTGAAAATGGTATGTCTAGATGTTGTCTTTTTGGCATTTATCCTGCCTGGTGTTCTCTGAGCCTCCTACATTTGTGGTTTCATGTATGACATTAATTTGGAGAATTTTTCAGTCAGTATTACTTCAAATATTTCTTCTGTTCCTGTCTCTCTTTCTTATCCTGCTGCTAATTCCTATTATGTATATATTATTGCTTTTACAGTTGCCCTACAGCCCTTGGCTATTCTATTCTGGCTTTTTCAGTCTGTGTTCTCTTGCCTTTTCAGTTTTGAAGGTTGTTATCGATACATCCCCAAGTTCAGAGAGTCTTTCCTCAACTCTGTGCAATCATGCTACTAATAAGCCCATCAAAGGCATTCTTCATTTCTGTTACATGATTTTGATCTCTAGAATTTCTTCTTGGTGCTTTCTTAGAATTTCTTCTCCTTACATTGCCCATCTGTTTTTGCCTGCTGTCTACTTTATCCATTAGAACCCTAGCATATTAATCACAGTTATTTTAAATTCCTGGTTAGAAAATTTCAACATCCCTGCCACATATGGTTCTCATGCTTGCTCTGTCTCACAAAAAGTCTGTGTTTTTTGTCCTTTAGTATGTCTTGTATTTTTTCCTTTTAGTTGTACATGATGTACCAGATAAAAGGAACTGCTGTAAATAGGTCTTTAGTAATGTGGAGGCACGGTGGGGCAGGGGGGAATACCTATAGTTCTGTGATTGCGTCTCAGTCTTTAGTGAGCTTGTGCCTCTGAACTGTGAAAATCACAAGTGTTTTTCAATTTTTCTCTAACCTCTTAGGTGAAACAGAAAGAATACAATGTGTTGACGTTGGGTATTTTTCTTTCCCCAGATCAGTTAGGATCTGATAATATACCAGCAGATTAGCCCTGGTTAACTAGTTTCTCCTGAGGGTAGGCCTTGGAAAAAAAAAAAAAAAAGAAACAAACTAAGAAAGGAAGGAAAAGAAAAGAAAAAAGAAACGAAAAGGAAAAAGACAACAGAGTGCTCTGGTGTGTTTCAAAATAGATCCTCTTCTTGCTTAAAGCATGAGGGGATGTTTCTCCAATATTTTCCTATGAGAACCTGATTGATCTCCTGGTTGAGATAAAACTCACAAAATTGTAGGGGCTCCTCTGTGGCTGGGTCCAGCGCAGTTTTTAATTCTCAGACTTTTCCACGCTAAGCCTCCAGCAATTTGTCAATTCCAATTCAGATATTCCTACCACAGCACTGGTTCCTGCTGGTTTCCACTCATGAGGATCTGCAACCGGAAGCCATGACTCCCTATACTGGCCTGTCTGTCTCTCCAATCTTGTAGGCAGTAGTTTGCCCTGTGTAGTTACCTCTCTTACAGATCCAAGAGGAGTGTTGATTTCTCAATCTGTTCAGCTTTTTACTGTTGTTAGGACAGGGTGGGAACTTAAGCTCCTTGCATGCATTGGTGGAAACCAGAAGTCTGTTTTATTAAATTTGGATAATTTATATAACATATTTTTTTCAAAAATCATGTATTATATTGCAATTTAAATTTATGAGCATAAGAGTATACATATAGTTATTTGTTTTTAATTTTCTCCATCACTTCAAATTCTTCACTTTTAGTTAAAAGTGCTCTTGTGTTTTCCTTGTGTGTTTAATGCAAGAAAAAGTTTTGAGCCAGGTCACATTGAAGCTCTGTAATATTGTTTTGAATTGATGTATATGATTTCTCTTTCAGAACAGTATTGTAAGGGAAGTTAAGATTACAGACCATCTGTCTCAGATTGATCTTACTTGTGCCACTTCCAGTCTTTGTGACCATGGGTGGTCATTAACTCTCCAAGAGTCCCCTTTCCTCCTCTCAGATAGATATCATAAAATTTACCAGATAGTGTTGCAGTAAGGGTGAACACTGATATATAAAATAACAGCTATAAAATTATAAAATAATAAGTGCATGCAGGCAATTAGTATAGTCTCTGCCTTCTAGGAGGTACTTCTAAATGTTACTTTTTGGCTACTTTAGAATATAATAAAGGACTATATTATAATGATATTCTTTATATTTTCAAATTTATTAATAAAACATTTTCATTTATATTTTCAGTGGATTTGTCTTGAATATTATATAATATGTAATTATTAATGTTAATTACTAAGGAAGTTTTTTGATAAAGTAATTTCTCAAAAAGAAAACAAGCCAAAGTAAAGAAATTCATCATGTTCACTTTATTAAGTGGATATTCATTTTCTTATGTGTCCTCTCTGTTCATATTTGACCATTATGCTCTCATTATCTTGACACATCCCATATTTAATCTCCATTTTTCCATGCTTTCTCCTCTCTTGTGATTGCCCATAGATCCATGATTTATCAGGTCACATGCATAAGAATTTTCAATATTTAAACACCAAAACAATTTGGAAATTTTAGGCTTGATGATAAGTGATTAAAATGTTTAAATACTTTCATTAAGCAAGGGGGTTCAGCTATATTAAAGAGGCCTAAAAACACTTGATCCTAATATTCTGTTTTTCAATCTAGGTCTTGCCCTGTGACCTAATTGGCTAGAAATTGAAACTGACCAGAAACATGTCATGTGCATTTGGGCAACTGTTTGCAGGAGCAGAAGTTAATCTTAAGCAAGTGTGCTACCCACAACTGCCAAAACTTGTCCTTAAAAGAATGTTTTTCCATTTACTAAGTTATATTCAGTATACGGATTTGTCCATCACATAAAATCCTCTTTCTTCTTTTAGGTGAATGAATGAAAAAAATAATATTTAGACCAAAACATTGTTAAGTAGCTATGCAAACACATCTCTTAATTCTCCATCAATTAATGTTAAACCAATGCTCTTACCTTGAATATCTGCTTTATATCTTTTTCTTTTTCTCTATAACATCATTCAACCTGTAGTCAGTGGTTTTTCTTATTTATTTATTTATTCATTAATTTATTTATACCTATGTTTTAGGTTCCTACTATATGCCAGAGATTTTTTTTTCAGGTGCTGGAACTACAATAGTGAACATAACAAACAAAAAAATCTCTATAGATTATGTAGAATGTTTATTCTAGTGGGGAAAATAGATGGTAAATAAAGTGTGACAAGAATGGAAGAGCAAAGCGTGCAAGGAGAATGGATAGTTGTGGAGCACAAACCGTAAACTTTTTACTGAAGTGTAGCATACACACAGAAAAGTGCACCAATTATAAGTGTGCAGCTCAATGAATTTTCACAATGTGAGCACACTTAGGTAACCATCATCAGGATTAAGAAGCAGAACATCAGGAGAGTTTCAGTAGCCCTTCATGTCCCATTCCAGGCATTTCCTCCTCACAACACACCTCCCCACCCCTACCTGCTGCTGAGGGTAACACTATCCTGTTTTCACTCCAGAGCCCTGCCACACTGGCAAGAACTGTATGGTATGACTTCTGGTAGGATGAGAGCATTCTATTTGAGACCCAAGAGGAGACCAGATTTCCTCATTTCATGACTGCTATGGTGCTTTTCTCATTATATAACAACACGAAAATCCCCATCATCCAGCCTCTTAAGCTCTTGAGACTTAACCATTTCATAGCCACTATAAAGACACAGTTTTAACTAACTGCCAAAGTATATCATGTAATCACAAAAGGATCCAATGAAGTAGGGACTATTTATAATTATTCCACATCTAGAGTTGATGAAAGTGAGGATAAGTTATTTAGCAAAAGTCCACGATTAATAAATGGCTGAGTCAGGATTATAACCCACATAAGTCTGATTCTAAAGCATAAATTCTTTTCTTTTTCTTTTTAATTATATTTTAAGTTCCGGGATACATGTGCAAGACATGCAGGTTTGTTACACAGGTAAACGTGTGCCATGGTAGTTTGCTGCACCTATCAATCCATCACTTAGGTATTAAGCCCCACATTAAAGCATAAATTCTTAATGACAAGTCTATTCTCCCATTCTGCACCAGATTTCAATAACTGTAATATTATTGAAACACTCTCTTCTATTCTGCCTCAAATGTTTCACATTCAGCAATTCATTGTGAAAATTGCATTCATCATTTGGTACTTTTGGAAGTTAAATGTAGAAGAAAAGATAAAGAGGAAGCCTGTTAGAAATGATGTATCCAGTAAAAACAAGTATTCTATAAATCTTCATGCAGACCCTTCCACCTTAGATGCTGTATTATATCCTTGGCATTTAACTATTTAAAATCATGAAAATTTCCTCTTGGCTATGATTGGATTCACAAATAACCATTTCCTGAAAAATTAATGTATTACACCTTCTGAAATATTTTTAACTTTTTAAATCAATAACATTTACCTGGAATTGGGTCATTAAGTTGGTACAGGATATTTTATTTATATTTAAAGGCTTAAAATCAAAATCCTTTTAAAATGTGACCATCCCTTAATCAATGAAGGTAAAATTTCCAAAGAATAGATTTTAACTATCATTAGGCTTATAGCAGAAACAATGTTCTCTAATAAATAAATTCACACCAAAAAAGATTAAGATTTCACCTTTTTAGCTTTGTACCTGATATTGTGCTTCTAGGAGGCAAAACACATAGTTACTTTAATAAAAAAAATTTGTCCCATAGTTCAAGTATAGAGTAACAGGTTGATGATGAAATAGAATTTTTTTCTGCAGGATCAAACTCTCACATTATTCCTGATATATTAATACATAGGACTCTGTGCCTTTGATTTAAACAGTCTTTAAGGAAGAAGAAAAGCTTATTAAAATTAATTTTTCCCTTAGGAATTATTCTGGATTTTCACACACACTACACAAGTGAAATGGCTTTTTAAAACTCATGCTTTTTGTCATCCTAATTGTTTTACACATCTTGGCAACTTTTCACACCCTGCATAAAACAGGGGTTCATTAGGAGTCATTAAAAGAAAATATTTTTCTTGGAAATACATTAAAGCATTTCCACATTATTTTATGCCATTTTCAGAAAAGAGATGTAAATTGTGACTAAGCACGAAGCAAAAAGGGTCACTTAACAATAATGCAGGAAACAGCCTCTCAGCGACAACATTTCAGAAATGAGAAGTTGATGGGATTTGGAAATTGAATCATCATTCCCTTACAATAAATGTTTAACATTGTATTTTTTTTAGCTATTAAGTGATTAGGCAATGTTTTTATTTATTTTAGAACAAGAAAATACATATAAGGAAAACAAAAAATAAAATCAAAATCAAAGATGAAGATTGTATTAATAGTTTATTCTTACCAAATGATTTCTTGAAAGAAGATAGATATGGATAGGGCAGGGATGGGAGTGGAAGGAAGTTAAGGTAATTTAGCGCAAGTATGCAGTTCAGTGGTGACTTGTTGAAAAAAGAAAAAACATAGTTATGTATTTTGGTATTACCCATGTGTAAATCATACAAACGGATATATCTGATTTTACAGCTACTTTATGGAGGATCCAAAGTAGTACTATTAGATCTCTAAGAACAACAACAACAAAATAATTAAATCATTGTCATTCAAATGAAGCACCAATAGGAACAGCACATAAAATGCATTCCCTAAGTTTATTTCTCAGAGCAACCTGCTTTACTGAGTCATACACAATTATATGTGTGCGGACTTAAATCAATCATTAGAACCCTGTACTAGTGACATGTACACTCTGACCATGCCTATATGATTTCCATAATAAGCTAGGCAATAAATCAGATCATCAAATGAATTGTCTGAGCCAAACACATAAGGCAGCCAATGCTGACTTTTGATCATATGACAAGGGAAGGGTCATCTTAACCACTGTAACAGGGATTACTTTAATACCTACCACTATGTTTGAGTCAAGTCATAGAAGTCATTTTGCTCCTTCATGTAAAGACTGCCTTAACCTCTCCTTTTGGTGGGAGAGGGATGGTGGGGAGATATATATATACACATATATATATGTGTATATATATATACCCATTTCAACATTTCTTTTTAAATAATGAGATTTACAGAAATGTTACAAAGATAGTATTGCTAAACCTTCATCCAGCTTCCCCTATTGTTGCCACCTCACATAACCATGCACATTTATCAAAACAATTAAATGAATATTACCTAAATTATAGACTATACACTATTATAAAACCATTAACTAAACTACAGACTTTATTCAGATATTGTATATTTTTCCACTGATGTCCTTTTTATGTTCCCAGATCTACTCCAGGTTATCTCATTCTATTCAGTCATGATATTTCCTTAGTCTCCTGTAATCTGTGATAATTTATCCGTCCTTCCATATCTTTCATGACCTTGATACTTTCAGAGAGTTTAGGGTCCAGTATTTTGTAGAATTTTACTCAGTTTGGGCTGGTCTGCTGTTTTCTCATGATTAGCTTGGGGTTATAAGATTTGGGGAAAGAATATCACAGAGATGATGTGCCCCTCTGATTGCATTATATGAGGTCAACTCCTTCTGTTAAAATTCATTATAATTTGTTACCCATTAGAAATCATTTTTGTGGTACAGACTTCTGGGTATGCAAGCCACAGTCATATTAGCCTTTCTTAGTCTAATAAAAGTAGTTGAAAACGTCAAAAAAAAGTCAAGGCAATTTTGCGGACTAAGTAGAATATTAACAGGGGCTAAGAAACTCTGAAAATTGTTTTCAAGGGTCTCAGAGTCATTTTATGCTATTTATTTGTTTATTTTTATTTTATTTTATTTTATTTTTTTTGAGACGGAGTCTTGCTCTGTTGCCCAGCCTACAGTGCAGTGGCGGGATTTCCACTTACTGCAAGCTCCACCTCCCGGGTTCACGCCATTCTCCTGCCTCAGCCTCCCGAGTAGCTGGGACTACAGGCACCTGCAACCACGCCCGGCTAATTTATTGTATTTCTAGTAGAGATGGAGTTTCACCGTGTTAGCCAGGATGGTCTCGATCTCCTGACCTCATGACCCGCCCGCCTTGGCCTCCCAAAGGCCTGGGATTACAGACGTGAACCACCGTGCCTGGCCATTGTATGCTATTTTAATTGAACACCCCCAACATGCAGAATTGACATCTGCGTTTTTAGTCAACTCAATTAAGAATAAATAACATCAATGACAACTGTATTTTGTTTACTATTTATGTTACCCATGTTCAATGAATATTCACACTAAGGCAGCTTCTGCATCAGGAGAAAGGTAATGATTAATTCAATGTTTGCTGAACTTGGCCTGATAGATGGTGAAGGGATTGTATCCGAAGACACATTTATACTCAGTTAGCTGAAAATACACTTTGTTAAACTTTTTGTTTACAAATCAGCCATGGGTTTCACAAAATTTGGTTACACAGGTAGACTTTGGAGCCTGACAGCTTGGTTGAAATTCTTGTCCCTCCCCTTTGAGCTGCTGAGTCACTATTCCTTGCCCCACAATTTCCTCTGTTTCTAGGATTATTAAGAATATACTTTACAGACAAGCAAATGCTGAGAGATTTTGTCACCACCAGGCCTGCCCTAAAAGAGCTCCTGAAGAAAGCACTAAACCTGGAAAGGAACAACCAGTACCAGCCACTGCAAAAACATGCCAAATTGTAAAGACCATCGAGGCTAGGAAGAAACTGCATCAAGTAACAAGCAAAATAACCAGCTAACATCATAATGACAGGATCAAATTCACACATAACAATATTAACCTTAAATGTAAATGGGCTAAATGCTCCAATTAAAAGACACAGACTGGCAAATTGGATAAAGAGTCAAGAACCATCAGTGTGCTGTATTCAGGAGACCCATCTCACGTGCAGAGACACACATAGGCTCAAAATAAAGGGATGGAGGAAGATCTACCAAGCAAATGGAAAACAAAAAAAGGCAGGGGTTGCAATCCTAGTCTCTGATGAAACAGACTTTAAACCAACAAAGATCAAAAGAGACAAAGAAGGCCATTATATAATGGTAAAGGGATCAATTCAACAAGAAGAGCTAACTGTCCTAAATATATATGCACCCAATACAGGAGCGCCCAGATTCATAAAGCAAGTCCTTAGAGACCTACAAAGAGACTTAGACTCCCATACAATAATAATGGGAGACTTTAACACCCCACTGACAACATTAGACAGATCAACGAGACAGAAAGTTTACAAGGATATCCAGAAATTGAACTCAGCTCTGCACCAAGTGGACCTAATAGACATCTACAGAACTCTCCACCCCAAATAGACAGAATATACTTTCTTTTCAACACCACACCAAACCTATTCCAAAATTGACCACATAGTTGGAAGTAAAGCACTCCTCAGCAAATGTAAAAGAACAGAAATTTTAACAAACTATCTCTCAGACCACAATGCAATCAAACTAGAACTCAGGATTAAGAAACTCACTCAAAACTGCTCCACTACATGGAAACTGAACAACCTGCTCCTGAATGACTACTGGGTACATAACGAAATCAAGGCAGAAATAAAGATGTTCTTTGAAACCAACGAGAACAAAGACACAACATACCAGAAGCTCTGGGACACATTTAAAGCAGTGTGTAGAGGGAAATTTTAGCGCTAAATGCCTACAAGAGAAAGCAGGAAAGATCTAAAATTGACACCCTAACATCACAATTAAAAGAACCAGAGAAACAAGAGCAAACACATTCAAAAGCTAGCAGAAGGTAAGAGATAACTAAGATCAGAGTAGAACTGAAGGAGATAGAGACACAAAAAACCCTTCAAAAAATCAATGAATCCAGGAATTGGTTTTTTGAAAAGATCAACAAAATTGATAGACCACTAGCAAGACTAATAAATGAGAAAAGAGAGAAGAATCAAACAGATGCAATAAAAAATGATAAAGGGGATATCACCACCGATCCCACAGAAATACAAACTACCATCAGAGAATACTATAAACACCTCTATGCAAATCAACTAGAAAATCTGGAAGAAATGGATAAATTCCTCGACACATACACCCACCCAAGACTAAACCAGGAAGAAGTTGAATCTCTGAATAGACCAATAAGAGGCTCTGAAATTGAGGCAATAATTAATAGCCTAGCAACCACAAAAAAGTCCAGGACCATACGGATTCACAGCCGAATTCTATCACAGGTATAAGGAGGAGCTGGTACCATTCCTTCTGAAACTATTCCAATCAATAGAAAAAGAGGGAATCCTCCTTAACTAATTTTATGTGGCCAGCATCATCCTGATACCAAAGCCAGGCAGACACACAACAAAAAAAGAGAATTTTAGACCAATATCCTTGATGAACATTGATCCAAAAATCCTCAATAAAATACTGGCAAAACGAATCCAGCAGCACATCAAAAAGCTTATCCACCATGATCAAGTGGGCTTCATCCCTGGGATGCAAGGCTGGTTCAATATACACAAATCAGTAAATGTAATCCAGCATATAAACAGAACTAACGACAAAAACCACATGATTATCTCAATAGATGCAGAAAAGGCCTTTGACAAAATTCAACATCCCTTTATGCTAAAAACTCTCAATAAATTAGGTATTGATGGGATGTGTCTCAAAATAATAAGCACTATCTATGACAAACCCACAGCCAATATCATACTGAATGGGCAAAAACTGGAAGCATTCCCTTTGAAAACTGGCACAAGACAGGGATGCCCTCTCTCACCACTCCTATTCAACATAGTGTTGGAAGTTCTGGCCAGGGCTATCAGGCAGGAGAAAGAAATAAAGGGTATTCAATTAGGAAAAGAGGAAGTCAAATTGTCCCTGTTTGCAGATGACATGATTGTATATCTAGAAAACCCCATTGTCTCAGCCCAAAATCTCCTTAAGCTGATAAGCAACTTCAGCAAAGTCTCAGGATACAGAATCAATATGCAGAAATCACAAGCATTCTTATACACCAATAACAGACAGAGAGCCAAATCATGAGTGAACTCCCATTCATAATTGCTTCAAAGAGAATAAAATACCTAGGAATCCAACTTACAAGGGATGTGAAGGACCTCTTTAAGGAGAACTACAAACCACTGCTCAATGAAATAAAAGAGGATACAAACAAATGGAAGAACATTCCATGCTCATGGGCAGGAAGAATCAATATTGTGAAAATGACCATACTGCCCAAGGTAATTTATAGATTCAATGCCATCTCCATCAAACTACCAACGACTTTCTTCACAGAATTGGAAAAAGCTACTTTAAAGTTCATATGGAACCAAAAAAGAGCCTGCATTGCCAAGTCAACCCTAAGCCAAAAGAACAAAGCTGGAGGCATCATGCTACCTGACATCAAACTATACTACAAGGCTACAGTAACCAAAACAGCATGGTACTGGTACCAAAACAGAGATACAGACCAATGGAACAGAACAGAGCCCTGAGAAATAATGCCACATATCTAAAACTATCTGATCTTTGATGAACCTGACAAAAACAAGAAATGGGGAAAGGATTCCCCACATAATAAATGGTGTTGGGAAAACTGGCCAGCCATATGTAGAAAGCTGAAACTGGATACCTTCCTTACACCTTATACTAAAATTAATTCAAGATGGATTAAAGATTTAAATGTTAGACCTAAAACTATAAAAACCCTAGAAGAAAACCTAGGCAATACCATTCAGGACATAGGCATGGGCAAGGACTTCATGTCTAAAACACCAAAAGCAATGGCAACAAAAGACAAAATTGACAAATGGGATCAATTAAACTAAAGAGCTTCTGCACAGCAAAAGAAACTACCATCAGAGTGAACAGGCAACCTACAGAATGGAAGAAAATTTTTGCAATCTACTCATCTGACAAAGGGCTAATATCCAGAATCTACAATGAACTCAAACAAATTTACAAGAAAAAAACAAACAACCCCATCAAAAAGTGGGCGAAGGACATGAACAGACACTTCTCAAAAGAAGACATTTATGCAGCCAAAAGACACATGAAAAAGTGCTCATCATCACTGGCCATCAGAGAAATGCAACTCAAAACCACAATGAGATACCATCTCACACCAGTCAGAATGGCGATCATTAAAAAGTCAGGAAACAACAGGTGCTGGAGAGGATGTGGAGAAATAGGAACGCTTTTACACTGTTGGTGGGACTGTCAACTAGTTCAACCATTGTATAAGTCAGTGTGACGATTCCTCAGGGATCTAGAACTAGAAATACCATTTGACCCAGTCATCCCATTACTGGGTATATACCCAAAGGATTATAAATCACGCTGCTATAAAGACACATGCACATGTATGTTTATTGCGGCACCATTCACAATAGCAAAGACTTGGAACGAACCCAAATGTCCATCAGTGATAGACTGGATTAAGAAAATGTGGCACATATACACCATGGAATACTATGCAGCCATAAAATATGATGAGTTCATGTCCTTTGTAGGGACATGGATGAAGCTGGAATCCATCATTCTCAGCAAACTATCACAAGGACAAAAAACCAAACACCACATGTTCTCACTTATAGGTGGGAATTGAACAATGAGAACACATGCACACAGGAAAGGGAACATCACACACTGGGGCCTGTTGTGGGGTAGGTGGAGGGGGGAGGGATAGCATTAGGAGATATACCTAATGTTAAATGAGGAGTTAATGGGTGCAGCACACCAACATGGCACATGTATATATATGTAACAAACCTGCACGTTGTGCACATGTACCCTAAAACTTAAAGTATAATAAAAAAAATTAAGTTGAGTTAATGTGCATAAAACCCTAGAACAACAATGGCTGGCACACAGCAATTACTCCATAAATGTTAGCTACTATCATCATTATTCAAAACTACATATGCTTATTAGTAAATATTCTATATATCATATTTTAGTGAGAATAAATACAGCACAGAACTTTTTAAGGGGAAAGGAGCATTATATAAACAAAAAGTATTCTTCTATAGTTTGCCCAGCCTTTTTTATATTATTCATCATATGTGTTTCTCTCTATTTCAACATTAAATGCTTAGCTTCCCATTTAAGATTAAACTCATGTTTACTTTTCAAACTATATCCTTCTTTCAGTTCTAATTTATTTTACTAACATTCATATCATGTTTATTTTTCAGATATCAGGCCTCTTGGCACCTAAATTTTCCCCCATTAATGCTGACTTTTAGATTCAAAAGTTGACTTAGGAATTCTGGAGAATTTCATATTTATTTCTGGCATACCATGGCAGTGAAAACCATTTATTTATGACCCTTAAATAGTGTATTTAGTAGCTTATCTGCTAATAAAAATGGGAAATCAAAACATTGTAAATAAAATCTTTAAGGTTTTGCAGAATAGAATATGAAACACTATTTACATAAATAAACTAATTGTGTAATTTTTATAATGGTTTGATTTGCCTAGTTTGTCTGTGCATGTAGGATGGCCTTCTACATAAGATCAACCCTTGCTTCTCTGAATCAAAGGATCCTAGAGGCTACACAAAATAACACTACAATAAATTTAAACTCCCATGAAAATCAAGGTTTTCAATCTTCTCTGTAAACAAATAATATCTGTTAAATGATGCAAACACTCCTGATTAAATGAAGGAGTTTCTTGTCACTCATCTGCCTTGCAAGTGCCATGACAATGATCAAGGAAACAAAGAGAAATTTGTCCTTGAAGCTCTTATATAAAAGTGATGAAAAACTTTCTCAGAAATCTCTGCCAAGTCCCTCATCAAGTCTCATTGACTTCCATTGGGCAGCATGTCCATTCCTTGCTCACCTGCCACAGGGACCCATTGTTTGAAGCTGGCCTTGGTCCAGCTTGTCCTGATGTAGATTAGCTGAAGGCAGAAGGTTGAAAATTGAAATCTCAGTTCCGTTAGGAAGAAGGGAGGTGAGGGATGATGAGTAGGCAATCAAAAATATATATGATGGTAACATTCGTTATAAATTAATTAAACAAATATTTCTGTGCCTGTTTATTACATGTGAGACACTAGTAAAATAGTTGAGGCTCTAGTGGAAGCAAGAGAGATGGTCTCTGCCTTCATGAACTTACATTCTGCTTGGTGAATACAGACCTCAAGTTAATGATATAATTTCAATAGTTAATATTTGCTATGAAGAAACTAAAATAGGGTAATAGAGTAGACTATGTGTGAGATGCTCATTTTAGGGAGAGTGGAAAGGGAAGGCCTCTCTAAGGTGGTGACTTTCAAGCTGAAAGTGGAATGGTGAGAGGAGGTAGCCAGGTGATGACCTGAAAGAATGTTTCAGTCAGAGAGAATAACAAGTGTAAAGTCCCTGAGAAAAGTGTGGCCTTTTCCAGTGTGAGGAGGAAGGCTGGCAGAGCTGGAGCATCTTGAAGGAGGTAGGCATGAGGTCTGAGAAGTCACTGGAACAGCTCTTGTGAGGCTTTCCCAATCATCAGAAGGAGTTCACATTTTATTCTGTTTCACTGTGGAAGCCACTGGGCACCCTATGGACTTGTCCAATGGACTATTTTAAAATTCACTCTGATATGTAGATGTGGCATTGGATTTGTGGGGAGAAAATAGAGAAGCATCAAAAGGAGGTAAAGCTTTCTGGTGTCTATCTCACAGTTTCACTGGTATTCATTTGTATTTCCCAAATCAACTGATCTCTTTAATTGTGGGGTCAGAGGCCACTCATTTGAATACCCAAATGATTCAAAGTTTTTTTTTTGTTTTTTGTTTGTTTGTTTGTGTTTTGCATTGAATCATTGGTCAGTTTTTCACATGCAGCTATTCTACAAAATGGGTCATTTTCTAATTATAGAAAACCCACACCATTAACTTGAAAACACAATTTTACAACTGTCCTATATGAAATTTGGGCTTTATTGCAGAAGCACTGAGGTAGTCAACATGGAGCTTATATAGCAACACATATCAATAATAATCAACCCAGGCACAAATATATACATTAGTTTGGAAAACTTTGTTATAATAACGCTTGCATTAGGATGAGACAGGAAAACTTAGAAATAAACTTGGATATTGACATAGTTATTTGGCAGTTCAAAATTTTTAATTAGTTTAAATATTTAAATAAACTACTTCTTTCCTATTTATATTCCCCACACAGGCTACTGTGCAAAATAAATTTACTCACCCATACAACATTCAGATTGGCTGAGAAGCATTCCAAATGAGCAGCTTTGTCATGGCGGGTACCACAAGTCAGAAGTAACTGCTATTCATTCTACAATCTAAACTGTCAACTCTGTCTTCCTTCTGCATAAAAATAAACGTTTTCTCCACAATAAAGACTTTTTTATAAAAGCAATAAAACAACTCAAGGGAGCATTGTTATCATCAGCTAATCACCCCCTTGGGGAATTAGAGACACTTAGCTGCACCCAGTGCCTCACAGCACCTGAGGGCTGTGATTATTTTATGATAACCTCCCAGTCTGTCAGGACTTCTTGGTTAATTAGATAACATTCAGCTGGGTAATACGGTATTTGAAGATTCTTTTGGAAGTTGCATAAGCAAACACAGTTTATAAAACACACAAACACCACCAACACACATGATAGTAGCACAAATTTGATAATTAGCATTGCCTCCAAATGAAGAACCCAGGTTTTAAATAACTGGAAAAAAAATAAGAGTCCAAGAACTAAACCCTGAGGCACTACTTTAACGATGAGTAACTCTGATGAGTTCGACCAGGAAATCTTTGAGAAAAACTGACAAAAATTACATAATGTGATCTATTTCCAATCAATAAATTGTTGTGACACTTCAATCCTTCTTAAAACATTCAATTGCTCACTGTTTAAAAAAGAATTGGGGCAGAATAATAAACACATATCATTAATAACAAATCCAAGCACAAACATATACATTAGTTTGGAAAAGTTTATCATCATAAAGCTTGCATTAGGATGAGACAGGAAAACTTAGAAATAAACTTGGATATTGACATAGTTATTTGGCAGTTCAAAATTTTTAATTAGTTTAAATATTTAAATAAACTACTTAATTCCTATTTATATTGCCAACACAGGCTACTGTGCAAAATAAATTTACTCACCCATACAATGAGTATAATTCCTATGAATCTCATAAATTATGGCATTATATTAATAAATGAGTAAATATTTTTATAAAAGATGCCATATAACTGAAAATATTTTATAGCACTATCACATTTTACAACTACCAGAAAATTAAGGAAAATGATTTGAATGTTTTGCTTTTCTTTGTTTTCTTATGGTAATTAAATAGGGACAAATGAGATGGACCTGAATAATAATAATTCCAAGTAGAGTTTAAATTTTGAAAATTAAGCTTATGATGTACTATGCCAAGTAATATGCTAAGAAGAGATGATGGGACTTTAAGGGGAATAGTAGGAATTTAGGATAAGTGGCTAAAGACAGAAAAAAGAGAGATAAATTGAAATACATTTCTGAGAGAGATTATAAAATTTTTCCTCAAGGCATTGTCAAAATGCCAACAAACAAAACAGGATTTGTTGAGTCACCACTATGTGGCTAATGCCCTTACTACCTGATCCTATATAGAAGTCCACATTCAAACAAGATAGAACCCCTGCAACTTAGGAGTTTATGTTTTCACTGGGCACCAAATATTTCACATCTGAAATTTATAAATGTTTATATAAGTCAACACAAATAATAAATTAGTCCGGGATCTCATTGCTTGTCCAACAGAATCACCAGGGAACATTAAAATACACATACACACACAAATTCTTAGACCCTGAGAAATTCTAACTCAGCAGATCTGTGGAGAGAGTGTGTGACTCATATTTAACAGTTATATTTGGAAAACACTTCTATGTTGTTGAGGAAATATAATTAAAAACAAAATCTTCCCAACCCAAAAACCTCTCCACAAAGGTAGATGGGAAAGAAAACAGTTTTATTATTGGATAAAGCATTAAACCAGAATACGATGACCATCACAGGAAATCTACTAAGAGATCATAAACACAGAAAGAAATCTCACCCTTATATAAAGGCAAACAGATATGACCCATTTCACACGTGTTTTCAGGGCAAACGATAACTAGTCCTTAAGTAAGAAGATTTGACAGTATCATTTGTCTTACATAGTTCATTCTAAATTCACCTAGTAATTGGGTTTACACAAAGGAGAAACAAAGTCATGACTTTATGACAGGTGGTAGTTTTGAACTTGGAGCAAGGTAGCCACAAATTAGGCTTCTATCTTCCCAAAGAAACTGGAGATAGGGGTGCCATATCCCTTGACGTTTACATTTCAAAAGGATGGCTCCCAGACCTTTGAGAAAGACATTCTTGGGTTGTAAAACTGGCAAGAAACTTTTAAAAATATTTACATATATCTCGAAGGGCAGAGAAAGAATTTATAATTATAAGTTTATACTCTAAGAAATAAGCATTATATAATAGTATAGATATATCCTATTACATTTCCAGTATTCAATATAATATTATTAACTATAGTCTTCGTGCTATACATCAGATCTCGAGGCTTCACCCTACAAAACTTTCTACACTTTGTTCTACTTCTCATTCTCCACCCACCCCACCCCACCTCTGCCCTCAGTAACCACTGTTCTACTCTGTTTCTATATATTTGATTTTTTAAAGATTTTACACATAATTGAGATCATGCAGTATCTGTCGTTCTTTGACTTATTTCACTTAACATAATTCCTTAGAGATTCATCCATATTATGAATGGCAAGATATATATATATGTATATATACACACACACACACACCTCTCTCTCTATATATATACACACCATATATAAATGGTATATGTAACCATTTATATATTTAACCACCAATATATGTAACCACCATTTGGGCTATTATGAATAATGTTGTAATGAACTTAGGAGTACAGATATCTCTACAAGGTGCTGATTTCATTTCCTTTGGGTTCATACCCAAAAGAAGATTTCAGGGACATATGACAATTCTATTTTTAATTTTTTTGAGCAAACTTCATATTGTTTTTCATAACAGCTGCATGAATTTATATTCCCACCAACAATATATAAAAGGGTTCTTTTTTCACCATACCCTTGTCAACACTTATCTGTTATCTTTTTGATAATAGCCATCATAACAGTTGAAATAATATCTCATTGTGGTTTTAATTTGCATTTCCCTTATAATTAGTTATGTTGAGAACCTCTTCATATATATGTGGGTCATTTTTATGTCTCTTTGAAGAAATGTTTAGTTAGGTCCTTTCCCCATTTTTAAATAGGGTAATTTTCTGGGTTTTTTTTGCTTTTTTTTTTTTTTTTGCTATTAAGTTGTGTGAAGTTCTTATATAGTTTGGATATTAACCACTTATCAAATTTATAATTCACAAATATTTTCTCCAAAACCATTGGTTGACTTTTAATTTTATTTATTGTTTCCATTGCTGTGCAGCAGTTTTTTAGTTTGATGTAGTACCACTTGTTTATTTTTAGTTGTGTTTGCCTGAGCTTTTGGTGAGATATCCAAAATGTATTCCCTGAGTTTTCTCCCTTTTGTTTTCTTCTAGAAGTTTTACAGTTCCAGGTCTTACAATTAGATCTTTGATCCATTTTGATTTGATTTTTGCATCTGATGTAAGATAAGGAGCAAATTTCATTCTTTTGTTTATGGAGATCCAGTTTTCTAAACACCAATTATTGAAGAAACTTTCCCCAATGTATTTTATTGGTGCCCTTGTTGAAAATATTTCTGGGCTCTCTATTGTGTTTCACTGGTCTATGTGACTGTTTTTATACCAGGATTATAAAGTTTTGTTGATGATAGCTTTGTAATATAATTTGAAGTCAGAAAGTGTGATGCCTCCAACTTTGCTTTTCTTTCTCAAGATTGCTTTGGCTACTTGGCATCTTTTGTAGTTTCACACAATTTTTAGGATTTTTTTCTATTTCTTTGAAAAATACCATTGGAATTTTGATAGGAATTTCATTGAATCTATAGATCACTTTGGGTAGTATGGGCATTTAAACAATACTAGTTTTTCCAATCCATGAACCCATGATATCTTTTCAATTATTTGTGTCTTCTTCAATTTCTTTCATCAATGTTCTGTAGTTTCCAGTGTAAAGATTTTTCACTTCCTTGGTTAAATTTATTCCTAAGCATTTTATTCTTTTTGATGCTATTATAAATAGGGTTGTGTTCTTGATTTCTTTTTCTGATAGGTCATTATTGGTGTACAGAAATGCAACTGATTTTTGTGTGTTGATTTGTATCCTGCAACTTTAGCAAATTTATTTATTAGTTCCAACAGTTTTTTATGGAGTACTTAGATTTTTCCACATGTGGGATCATGTCATCAGCAAATAGGGATAATTTAACTTCTTTCTTTCCAATCTGAATTCCCTTTTTTTCTTACCTCATTGCTCTTGCTGGTACTATGTTGAATAGAATTAATGACAGTGAGCATTTTTGCCTTATATTGAACCTTAAAAGAAAAGTTTTTAGTGTTTCCCATTGATTATCATACATGCTCTTTCTTGTTTTAGTATATTTTATTCTACATCTAATTTGTTGAGTTTTTGTTATGGAAGAATGTTGAACTTTGTCAAATATTTTTCTGCCTCTATTGAGATGATCATGTGGTTTTAATCTTTCATTTTGTTAATGTGATGTATCACATTGACCAATTGCTTATGTTAAACCAAGCTTGCATCCCAAGGACAAATCCCACTCAGTCATAATGTACAATCTTTTTATTATAATATTGTTGAATTTTATTTTCTAGCATTTTATTGAGGATTTTTGCTTCTATGTTCTTCAGAGATATTGACATAAAATTTTCTTGTGGTGTTTTTGTCTACCTTTGGTGTCAGGGTAAAGCTGGACTCATAAAAAGAGTGTGGAAATATTTCCTTTTTTTATTTATTGAAGAGTTTAAGAAGGATTGATAGTCATTCTTTTTTTAATGTTTGGTAGAATTTAGCCATGAAGCCATCTGGTCCTGAGCTTTTCTTTGTTGAGAGGTTTTAAATTACTACTTCGATCTCTTTATTTTTTATTGGTCTATTCAGCCTTTCTATTTCTTCTTGATTCAATTGTGGTATGTTCTATATTTCTAGGAATTTATCAAATCCCTAGCTGGATTAGTTTTTTTTTGTAAAAGAGGAAAGACTCAAAATCAGAAATGAAAATGGAGAAGTTACAACAGATGCCTCAGAAATAAAGAAAATCATAAGGGGACTATTATGAACAACTATATGCCAACAAATTGGATAACGCAGAGGAAATGGAATGTATTTCTTGACCATAAACTAACTGAATTAGACTTTAAAGTGACTGAGAGAAGGGTCATATCTTAAGCCTACCTCCTAGTGGAGGACTTTGTCCACATATGCTCAGTAAATACTTAATGAGATCAAAGGTATATAAGATCTTCAAGAACGTAGACATTGAGGAAGTCTGAAGAGTAACTTATCTTTAAACATTACTTTCTTCCTTTCACACTAGCTTCTTTGTTTTCTTCCTATAATAATTGGCATAGAAAAAAAATCCCAGAAGGCAATTCAGAAGTCTCCTAAAGTGATTGCATTTGCAGGCAAAGTTATATCTAAAAATAGAACAGCTCTACTTTGTGAAACCACAGGAAGAGAACTACAATAACATGAAAATACTAAACATAGTGCCTCATACCTTCACATTCTGGGTATTTGTTGACTTGCTTTATGTGGTTGTACTCCATAAACTAGAAAGTTTTAACATAGACATATTTAACATAGACAGATTCCATTGAATCTGTGGTTAAAGTAACTCCCAAATAGAGAAACTCATCAATAATTGTAAATGAATGTTTCATTTTGACCAAAATGATGTTTACACTTATGTTTTGCCAAAACGTAACCTTTATTAGGTTGCTAAGAAAAAATGTTTTGGGCATATACTTTTTGTCTATGTACACTAGGAAGCATCTTTATTCTAGTCTCATACTTAATTGATAGTTTGGCTGGGTGCTTTAAGCTAAGCTGAAATTTGAAAGTATTGCTTCATTATTTTCTAATTCTCAGGGTTATTTTTAAGATAATTCCAACTGCATTCTGATTTCCAGTTACTGTTTATGATCTGTCACGTGTCTGTCACTTTTTGGATCCTCTATTTACATAGGAGTAGCTTCATGTTGTTTTGCAATATCCTGAGAATATCCCTTGTCAAGGATCTGTTTTCATTCATTGTATCAGGAAGGAGTGTGCCCTTTAAAGATGAGAGAGGTGGTAGTGAGCTTCTCAGGAAGAACGAGGAGCCCCAAGGACCCAATTGCTCTGAATAAGACCATCAATCTCATCCTCCCCCTTTTGTCATTAGCTGATGCTTCTAATCACTGTTTTTCAGAGTTTCTGGAGCAAATTGTCAATGCTTTTCTTGCTTTCTCTTCTCTTCTTACATACATATCTTACATTGCCTCAGTTCCACCTTAAGTTAGTTACCAATCTTCCTTTTGATTTCCTTCTTGTAAAATTTTGTTGAAAGGTTTCATCCATTTTTCATCTCTTCCCTAAAACTTTATTCTTCCTTTTGGCCTAAAACTGCACTCTTGTCTTTACTGTCATTTCAATGGGGTTTGAGGGATAGCAGATAAACACAAGAAGCAAACCTATTATGTCTAAACAGATGGTTTAATTTAACTCTAAGGCAAGAACCCGTGAACTTAAACATTGCTAATGCTGGCCTTAAAATACTTTCCATCTAGTCCTCCAAAAAAAGAGGAGGGTAAAGGGTAAAGATACAGAAACTTTTAAAAGAAAAAGTCTTTCTTCAATACCTCCTGCCTTTCTCTATCTCCTACTCCTGTACTTCCTTTTGAAACAGGAAACGTTCCCTTGTCCTCCTAGTAGGGCATGCAATGGGGGTGTGGCTCACTTATTCAGTGCCCAGCTGCTCAAACCTCTAGGGGAGCATACAGACGGGCAGGCTCTGGGGCTCCGACCTCACGGCTGTGTCTAGGGGTAAATGTTTACAGCTCCTGAAGCCCCAGTGGGCATGTGTTACAGGATGCTCTTTTAGTTTTGCTCATTTAGTTTTTCCGTCTATAGGCTTGTGTTAACCAGCTCAGTCCCTCTATGTTGTCGTAAGGACAGAGGGCTTTCTGTATCCTGGGTTCTTGCCTTGGTGTACTAGAAGAATCGGATCACACCTGGGCTTGGAGAATGAGTGCAAGGTTTTATTGAGTGGAAGTAGCTCTCAGCAGATGGGGGAGCCAGAAGGGAGATGGATTTCCTCTGGAGTTAGGGCACTCAGCGGCCCGGGCCGCCTGGGCTCTCCTCTGACTGCCCTGGCCAAACTGTGCTTAGTTCTGCCAGTTGGTGGCCCATCAGCCTGCCAGTGCCTGTTGGTGCATTCCTCTCGAAGTCCAGCTGCCCGTGTGTTCCCCCACCTATATGCTCCTCTCCACGTCCAGGTGCCTCTGTGGGTTCCTCCACTGATGTCCTCCTCTCCACCTCCAGCTAGCTGCCTCTGTCTCTGCCTTGCTAGGGTCTCAGGTGGATGGGGGTGTGGCAGGTCAGAGTGGTCTTGGGAAATGCAACATCTCGGCAGGAAACGCCTGTCCTCACCTAGGTCCATGGGGGTGGAGCCCCAGCCAGGGACCACGCCCTCCTCTACCCAGCAATTCCCTTCCCCACTTCCGTATAACTTAAAGGGTACCATGCTCTTCCCTTCCCAGCACTCCGTGTCACTGTCATATCCCTTTCTCTTCCTAGAAGCTACTTACACTAAACAGGTCTATTGTATTTCTTTTTTACTCCCTGGCATATTTTTCTCCTTCCCATAAATATCTGTAGTAATTTTACTTTATATTGCTTTTTCTCAAGCAAATGTTATTGTATTTATCTAATTTTATGAATATTGGAATGCATATAATCCATGTTAGAAAGATTTATACCACAGAGACAAAATGAATAATATTTTGTATCATATTTGTAAATATCATTTATGTGAACTCTTTATTTCTCTATTCCCAAAGGAGACAAGATATCTCAGAAGAAAGGGACCAATGTGTTTCCTCACTTGACCAAGTAGTGTGCAATGGGAATAGAAATTCAAATATTTTACCAGCAAAACCTCCATTAAAAGTCTCATCCACGCCTAATCTCCTTTTCCTTTACTTCCATCATAAAAGAAACAAACATGAAAATAAATAAGTACAGCCAACATTTCTTACAGCAATAAAACTGTATTAACATTTATACTGTCATTAATAAGGTGTGATACAGAGTGCTAAATGCATATTCACACAGATTTCTGTGGGCTCCAATTCAATAGAGCATTATCCCCACAATGTCATTTTATGCTATTACAAAGACAATTATGCTAAAAAAATAAAAGTGCTATGAAAATATAACTGAGTCATGTAGGCTTCGTATTGTCTAACACCCACTATATAATAATAATAGAACCTTGTAGTTATAGAATTATTTTCTGTAAGGAACTGAAAGAACTTTCTAGGCATAGTTTCAATATGTATATTTCACAAATAAAATAGACATAAAGGATAAAAGTATAAGTTCAAAAAGTGATTTTATTTACTCATCACTTTTTTAATAAGGAAACAATATTTTATAACAAATATTAGGTATTTTATAAATAACTTTAAACAGTATAGAATGCTACCTAAAGTGACATCCATATAACCAATTGTGTTTAAAATAACCAGCTATTAGTAAGTTAGTGATACACTTTACTGTTTGTTTAACTGAATTCAGCCGTCTCCCTTTTCTACCCAACCTTTTCCACCCAACCTTTTCCAGTCCTTCACCTCCTTAGATATCTTGTATTTGAACCTGGCAAACAATTAATGAGCCTTCAACTTAAAATAAAAATCACACTATTTACTCCCTGCTATGTTGCCTGGGCTATGCTGAGTATTAATAATAAGGCCGAAAAAAGCTGGGGAGTCGAAGTCTACTTTGATCATAAATTAAGCAGTGGTTTAATGTGTCCCACATACTAATCTCCATCACAATACCTCTCTACCATTGTTCCATCTTTCATTTTGGAAATTTTAGTGTTCAAATCAGGCCTCCCTTGTCCTCTCTGAATTTCGCATTTGTTCTGTCCCACAGCCTCCAAATGATCAAAACTGCCACTCCTCTTCTTTGGCATGGCAAGGGATGTACCCATTTTCTACTGATTAAATAGATGCTGCTGCAGATAACTGAACTTGAATAATCTCATATTAAAATGACTGATTCTGGTATTAAAATTATAGATTATGATAACTGTAAATGACTGCAAAGCTTTGGAAATCTGCTTAAAAATTTTTAGAAGATCTGCTACCCATCAGGAAAGTAAGACTTAACTTAGTCCTTATTGGGGCAATCATTGGTAAAAAAATAAAATAATTTCATGTTATGTCCTACTAAGTTAAATATTTCAATAACCTGGTTACACACATCTCTTCAGAGCGTTGTATAGTGAGGCACAGAGTTACAGTGATGGGTTACTGCTTTCATTAGTATTTAATTTTTAAAACTCAGAGACAGGTGTTAACTCACTATAACGGCATGGGTTATGATAGGAAGGAATATTGTATCAAACTACTGTCTGAATATAAAGTGCCTACAGAAGTGCCTATAAAAGCACCTTCCAATATTTACAAATCATCAAGTAAATGATTAAGGACCCTTTTAAACATTTTTCTATTTTGCATCTAAATAGTCTCATTCTCCAATCCACTATGAGTTTATTTTTTACTAACTGTAATGTTATTATTTAGTTTTTACTTGTCCATCAAATATCTCTTGTAAATATTACTCCTAAGATACTATCCTCTTAAAGGCGACAACATTGTCTTTCTTGTTCAAAGATATATTCCTAGCTCCTTGCTAATGGTATATATTCAATAAATATTTGTGGGCCAGGCATGGTGGCTCATGCCTGTAATCCTAGCACTTTGGGAGGCCGAGGCAGGCAGATCACTTGAGGCCAGGAGTTTGAGACCAGCCTGGCCAACATGGTGAAACCCCGTCTCTACTAAAAATACAAAAATTAGCCAGGCATGGTGGCACACTCCTGTAATCCCAGCTACTCTGGAGGCTGAGGCATAAGAATCGCTTGAACCCAGGAGGTGGAGGTTGCAGTGAGCTGAGATCACACCACTGCACCCCAGCCTGGGTGACAGAGGGAGACTCTGTCTCAATAAATACATAAATAAGTAAAATAAATATTTGTTGATTGACTGAATGTAGCCCTTGCCCAGGCATCTTGTATATAATCCCTACTAAACATATGATATTTATGAGTTCTAAGTATTTCATTTCCTATAGGCACAGCAGGATTGTGACACTGAAATGGTGTCTTTCCAGTCCAAATTACAGAACCTTAATAAAACCTTTGCTTTACCACAGAGCTAAAGTACAATTTTCCAAATTGAATATGACTTCCCAAAAGAAATAAATGATTAACTGTTGCCAAAATAAAACCAATGTGCTGCATCAAAACTACATAATAAATATATATAAATGCCAGATGGCAAGATAATAATAGTGTTTAATGTTTCTCAGTTTTTACTTTCATGTGGTAAAATGCATTATAATCGTATTTACTATTCGTTGTCATAATAAGTATCAATATCAAATAATGTTATCACAACATTATTATGCTTACCAAAGACAATTACGTACACTATAATTTATTAATTTTTTATTTCCGACAAGTTCTTGGAGACGGAAAGCACCAGACCTGGATTTTGTCCACATTTCTCACTGGATCAAAATTTGTCCTACTTAAGAATCCCAAAATGTTAAAGGTTTTCATGAAACTTTACATCTGTCTTTTACACAAATGCAAAGCTATTAATTTTCTACATTCAAAATGATTAACTATGGGAATTAGTAATATCACTCAAATGCTTCTACTTGACCCTTAGTCTACCTTGGAAGGGCATCCTCAAATTATAAACAACTCTAATTTAGGGAAGAAAAGTAAAACATAAATTTGAGCCTTTTGGAAAACAATACAATCTCTCCAACACTCATTTTAATAAGAATGTATTATATGGGTAATGTCCCTTCTACTAAAATCAAGAAAGAAAATCTCTTGACCCAAAGTTGAAAAGTTAAACCAATCAAGATTCTAACACTAACAGCAATAGCGCTGAAGGATATTTCTTTTGCAGGAATATAAATTTGAGGGACTTGAAACCTGAAAAAGCTGGATTGTGTAATTAGAAAGCAATAAATGTAACTCACCATGATTTAAAAATGATTTTAAAAATTGGGGAAATAATCAGAACACTTTGGAATTATTGTGAACATTTATCTTAACTCCCAATGGCCGCTAGATGGCACCTAGTATTTGGCAACCATAACACTTCTGTATTTCCAGAGCTTAAAATAACTACAGCACCAGGTCAGTTCTGACAGAGCAAAAATTAATCCTGCCACAGACATGTAACACTTCCCTGTCAGATATCTAAATTTAAAATGCATGTGGTTTGCTGGTCACTCAAGAAAATATACAATACCATTTTATTTTTCCCAGGTTTTAAAAGTTTTGCTAAAGGAATTGTGAGATTTAAATTTTCGAATAAGGTACTTGATTTGCATCATTCAAAAGTAGGGATTGGGAGTATTTTGCCCTAGATATGCTCCATTCTTTAAGCATTAGTTTAATTCTGCTGGGGCAAAGTTAAGGTAACATTTAAAATAGATGTTTAAAATTAAATGAGTCCATTGTGACCAACACTACCTTAAAGGGATTTAGAGTAATAGACCCCTTTTTTATCCGTGTATTAATTATTCAATAAACATTTTTGAAAATATATATGACAAAACCTTGTGGTTTGTACAGTAGGCTCTGTATATACTACTGTTTATCTTTTTAGAACACTTCATTGTAAAATAAGAACAAAAATAAAAATAAACTCTACCTATTTAAATGTATGCCTGATGTCTAACAAGCTATCTAGGAGAATGAAAATATTCAAATGATTATAGATTTCATATCATTGATTCAGACATGAATTCAGACTAATAAGACAGATGAAAAAATGATTTTCAGGGTGAAACAGAAAAATAATTTTTAAGTGTTCAATTGAGATGTTAATCTTTTTTCACCTGGTTGTATATTTTCATACTGAGGAGCAATATAGGTGTGGAACAGACATGAGAAGAGAAATGCTTTCAAAAACACCAATTTCTCTTTCGAAAACACCAATTTCTCCTGCTTTCAAAAACACCAATTTCTCTTGTGTCTCTGTTTTCTTTCTCCTATAATTCTTGTTTTTCCTTCTCATTCTATTTTGCTATCTTATTTCTATTGCCATCCTCTTCTCACTCTATCCATTCTCTTCTCACTCTACACAGTCCCCAGGGTCCTCTCTGTTCCTGGATTTGGCAAACACCATACACACTAGTGATATTCCTGTTTTTCCTGTTCAGCTTTCTCTTCTGAGAAATATATACGTGCTTACTTGGCATACCACCTGTATATTTGATAGACAACTCAAAATCACTTGGCCCAAAACTGAAATTTTAGTCTTCCCACTCAACCTCCTCACCCTTTTGAATAACTCACTCATTTACTCACCCAAGCCACAAACTTGGAATTCCTTAGATTTTTTCCCTTTTCCTCACATTTTATATCAGTAAGTTCTGTAGTCCTTATCTTTTAAAAATTTCCTACACCTTATCCCTCTTCTTTGTTACATTTAAACCCTTACTATTGCAAGTAACATCTTCCTTCCTTGATTGACCACCTACCTGCTTCTGCAAATTCATCTTCGTTCTCTGTCTAGACTCTAAAGTTGCAGTTGACTGAAATACTCAGATTTCTACTCCTTTTTATCTCTCCTGCCTCTTTACACTGGCTGTTCCCTTTGCCTATCCACTGCCTTGATTTTTCTGCCTGGTAAATTTGTATTCTTTCTTCAGAGTTCAGCACATCTGTGAAGTTTTCCTTGGTATCACCAGATAGAGCTGGCCATGGTACCAAGTTAACACCTTGACACAATGACCATCTGAGCTTTAGTTTTGTCATAAAGAAAATGGACAAATCATGCATCTACATAATGGCATTTTTTTTTTTTTTTTTTTATTATACTCTAAGTTTTAGGGTACATGTGCACATTGTGCAGGTTAGTTACATATGTATACATGTGCCATGCTGGTGCGCTGCACCCACTAATGTGTCATCTAGCATTAGGTATATCTCCCAATGCTATCCCTCCCCCCTCCCCCGACCCCACCACAGTCCCCAGAGTGTGATATTCCCCTTCCTGTGTCCATGTGATCTCATTGTTCAATTCCCACCTATGAGTGAGAATATGCGGTGTTTGGTTTTTTGTTCTTGCGATAGTTTACTGAGAATGATGGTTTCCAATTTCATCCATGTCCCTACAAAGGATATGAACTCATCATTTTTTATGGCTGCATAGTATTCCATGGTGTATATGTGCCACATTTTCTTAATCCAGTCTATCATTGTTGGACATTTGGGTTGGTTCCAAGTCTTTGCTATTGTGAATAGTGCCGCAATAAACATACGTGTGCATGTGTCTTTATAGCAGCATGATTTATACTCATTTGGGTATATACCCAGTAATGGGATGGCTGGGTCAAATGGTATTTCTAGTTCTAGATCCCTGAGGAATCGCCACACTGACTTCCACAATGGTTGAACTAGTTTACAGTCCCACCAACAGTGTAAAAGTGTTCCTATTTCTCCGCATCCTCTCCAGCACCTGTTGTTTCCTGACTTTTTAATGATTGCCATTCTAACTGGTGTGAGATGATATCTCATAGTGGTTTTGATTTGCATTTCTCTGATGGCCAGTGATGATGAGCATTTCTTCATGTGTTTTTTGGCTGCATAAATGTCTTCTTTTGAGAAGTGTCTGTTCATGTCCTTCGCCCACTTTTTGATGGGGTTGTTTGTTTTTTTCTTGTAAATTTGTTTGAGTTCATTGTAGATTCTGGATATTAGCCCTTTGTCAGATGAGTAGGTTGCAAAAATTTTCTCCCATGTTGTAGGTTGCCTGTTCACTCTGATGGTAGTTTCTTTTGCTGTGCAGAAGCTCTTTAGTTTAATTAGATCCCATTTGTCAATTTTGTCTTTTGTTGCCATTGCTTTTGGTGTTTTGGACATGAAGTCCTTGCCCACGCCTATGTCCTGAATGGTAATGCCTAGGTTTTCTTCTAGGGTTTTTATGGTTTTAGGTTTAACGTTTAAATCTTTAATCCATCTTGAATTGATTTTTGTATAAGGTGTAAGGAAGGGATCCAGTTTCAGCTTTCTACATATGGCTAGCCAGTTTTCCCAGCACCATTTATTAAATAGGGAATCCTTTCCCCATTGCTTGTTTTTCTCAGGTTTGTCAAAGATCAGATAGTTGTAGATATGCGGCATTATTTCTGAGGGCTCTGTTCTGTTCCATTGATCTACATCTCTGTTTTGGTACCAGTACCATGCTGTTTTGGTTACTGTAGCCTTGTAGTATAGTTTGAAGTCAGGTAGCGTGATGCCTCCAGCTTTGTTCTTTTGGCTTAGGATTGACTTGGCAATGCGGGCTCTTTTTTGGTTCCATATGAACTTTAAAGTAGTTTTTTCCAGTTCTGTGAAGAAAGTCATTGGTAGCTTGATGGGGATGGCATTGAATCTGTAAATTACCTTGGGCAGTATGGCCATTTTCACGATATTGATTCTTCCTACCCATGAGCATGGAATGTTCTTCCATTTGTTTGTCTCCTCTTTTATTTCCTTGAGCAGTGGTTTGTAGTTCTCCTTGAAGAGGTCCTTCACATCCCTTGTAAGTTGGATTCCTAGGTATTTTATTCTCTTTGAAGCAATTGTGAATGGGAGTTCACCCATGATCTGGCTCTCTGTTTGTCTGTTGTTGGTGTATAAGAATGCTTGTGATTTTTGTACATTGATTTTGTATCCTGAGACTTTGCTGAAGTTGCTTATCAGCTTAAGGAGATTTTGGGCTGAGACGATGGGGTTTTCTAGATAAACAATCATGTCGTCTGCAAACAGGGACAATTTGACTTCCTCTTTTCCTAATTGAATACCCTTTATTTCCTTCTCCTGCCTGATTGCCCTGGCCAGAACTTCCAACACTATGTTGAATAGGAGCGGTGAGAGAGGGCATCCCTGTCTTGTGCCGGTTTTCAAAGGGAATGCTTCCAGTTTTTGCCCATTCAGTATGATATTGGCTGTGGGTTTGTCATACATAGCTCTTATTATTTTGAAATACGTCCCATCAATACCTAATTTATTGAGAGTTTTTAGCATGAAGGGTTGTTGAATTTTGTCAAAGGCTTTTTCTGCATCTATTGAGATAATCATGTGGTTTTTGTCTTTGGCTCTGTTTATATGCTGGATTACATTTATTGATTTGCGTATATTGAACCAGCCTTGCATCCCAGGGATGAAGCCCACTTGATCATGGTGGATAAGCTTTTTGATGTGCTGCTGGATTCGGTTTGCCAGTATTTTATTGAGGATTTTTGCATCAATGTTCATCAAGGATATTGGTCTAAAATTCTCTTTTTTGGTTGTGTCTCTGCCCGGCTTTGGTATCAGAATGATGCTGGCCTCATAAAATGAGTTAGGGAGGATTCCCTCTTTTTCTATTGATTGGAATAGTTTCAGAAGGAATGGTACCAGTTCCTCCATGTACCTCTGGTAGAATTCGGCTGTGAATCCATCTGGTCCTGGACTCTTTTTGGTTGGTAAACTATTGATTATTGCCACAATTTCAGAGCCTGTTATTGGTCTATTCAGAGATTCAACTTCTTCCTGGTTTAGTCTTGGGAGAGTGTATGTGTCGAGGAATGTATCCATTTCTTCTAGATTTTCTAGTTTATTTGCGTAGAGGTGTTTGTAGTATTCTCTGATGGTAGTTTGTATTTCTGTGGGATCGGTGGTGATATCCCCTTTATCATTTTTTATTGTGTCTATTTGATTCTTCTCTCTCTTTTTCTTTATTAGTCTTGCTAGCGGTCTATCAATTTTGTTGATCCTTTCAAAAAACCAGCTCCTGGATTCATTGATTTTTTGAAGGGTTTTTTGTGTCTCTATTTCCTTCAGTTCTGCTCTGATTTTAGTTATTTCTTGCCTTCTGCTAGCTTTTGAATGTGTTTGCTCTTGCTTTTCTAGTTCTTTTAATTGTGATGTTAGGGTGTCAATTTTGGATCTTTCCTGCTTTCTCTTGTAGGCATTTAGTGCTATAAATTTCCCTCTACACACTGCTTTGAATGCGTCCCAGAGATTCTGGTATGTGGTGTCTTTGTTCTCGTTGGTTTCAAAGAACATCTTTATTTCTGCCTTCATTTCGTTATGTACCCAGTAGTCATTCAGGAGCAGGTTGTTCAGTTTCCATGTAGTTGAGCAGCTTTGAGTGAGATTCTTAATCCTGAGTTCTAGTTTGATTGCACTGTGGTCTGAGAGATAGTTTGTTATAATTTCTGTTCTTTTACATTTGCTGAGGAGAGCTTTACTTCCAACTATGTGGTCAATTTTGGAATAGGTGTGGTGTGGTGCTGAAAAAAATGTATATTCTGTTGATTTGGGGTGGAGAGTTCTGTAGATGTCTATTAGGTCTGCTTGGTGCAGAGCTGAGTTCAATTCCTGGGTATCCTTGTTGACTTTCTGTCTCGTTGATCTGTCTAATGTTGACAGTGGGGTGTTAAAGTCTCCCATTATTAATGTGTGGGAGTCTAAGTCTCTTTGTAGGTCACTGAGGACTTGCTTTATGAATCTGGGTGCTCCTGTATTGGGTGCATAAATATTTAGGATAGTTAGCTCCTCTTGTTGAATTGATCCCTTTACCATTATGTAATGGCCTTCTTTGTCTCTTTTGATCTTTGTTGGTTTAAAGTCTGTTTTATCAGAGACTAGGATTGCAACCCCTGCCTTTTTTTGTTTTCCATTGGCTTGGTAGATCTTCCTCCATCCTTTTATTTTGAGCCTATGTGTGTCTCTGCACGTGAGATGGGTTTCCTGAATACAGCACACTGATGGGTCTTGACTCTTTATCCAACTTGCCAGTCTGTGTCTTTTAATTGCAGAATTTAGTCCATTTATATTTAAAGTTAATATTGTTATGTGTGAATTTGATCCTGTCATTATGATGTTAGCTGGTGATTTTGCTCATTAGTTGATGCAGTTTCTTCCTAGTCTCGATGGTCTTTACATTTTGGCATGATTTTGCAGCGGCTGGTACCGGTTGTTCCTTTCCATGTTTAGCGCTTCCTTCAGGAGCTCTTTTAGGGCAGGTCTGGTGGTGACAAAATCTCTCAACATTTGCTTGTCTATAAAGTATTTTATTTCTCCTTCACTTATGAAGCTTAGTTTGGCTGGATATGAAATTCTGGGTTGAAAATTCTTTTCTTTAAGAATGTTGAATATTGGCCCCCACTCTCTTCTGGCTTGTAGGGTTTCTGCCGAGAGATCCGCTGTTAGTCTGATGGGCTTTCCTTTGAGGGTAACCCGACCTTTCTCTCTGGCTGCCCTTAACATTTTTTCCTTCATTTCAAGTTTGGTGAATCTGACAATTATGTGTCTTGGAGTTGCTCTTCTCGAGGAGTATCTTTGTGGCGTTCTCTGTATTTCCTGAATCTGAACGTTGGCCTGCCTTGCTAGATTGGGGAAGTTCTCCTGGATAATATCCTGCAGAGTGTTTTCCAACTTGGTTCCATTCTCCACATCACTTTCAGGTACACCAATCAGACGTAGATTTGGTCTTTTCACATAGTCCCATATTTCTTGGAGGTTTTGCTCATTTCTTTTTATTCTTTTTTCTCTAAACTTCTCTTCTCGCTTCATTTCATTCATTTCATCTTCCATTGCTGATACCCTTTCTTCCAGTTGATCGCATCGGCTCCTGAGGCTTCTGCATTCTTCACGTAGTTCTCGAGCCTTGGTTTTCAGCTCCATCAGCTCCTTTAAGCACTTCTCTGTATTGGTTATTCTAGTTATACATTCTTCTAAATTTTTTTCAAAGTTTTCAACTTCTTTGCCTTTGGTTTGAATGTCCTCCCGTAGCTCAGAGTAATTTGATCGTCTGAAGCCTTCTTCTCTCAGCTCGTCAAAATCATTCTCCATCCAGCTTTGTTCTGTTGCTGGTGAGGAACTGCGTTCCTTTGGAGGAGGAGAGGCGCTCTGCGTTTTAGAGTTTCCAGTTTTTCTGTTCTGTTTTTTCCCCATCTTTGTGGTTTTATCTACTTTTGGTCTTTGATGATGGTGATGTACAGATGGGTTTTCGGTGTAGATGTCCTTTCTTGTTGTTAGTTTTCCTTCTAACAGACAGGACCCTCAGCTGCAGGTCTGTTGGAATACCCTGCCGTGTGAGGTGTCAGTGTGCCCCTGCTGGGGGTGCCTCCCAGTTAGGCTGCTCGGGGGTCAGGAGTCAGGGACCCACTTGAGGAGGCAGTCTGCCCGTTCTCAGATCTCCAGCTGCGTCCTGGGAGAACCACTGCTCTCTTCAAAGCTGTCAGACAGGGACACTTAAGTCTGCAGAGGTTACTGCTGTCTTTTTGTTTGTCTGTGCCCTGCCCCCAGAGGTGGAGCCTACAGAGGCAGGCAGGCCTCCTTGAGCTGTGGTGGGCTCCACCCAGTTCGAGCTTCCCGGCTGCTTTGTTTACCTAAGCAAGCCTGGGCAATGGCGGGCGCCCCTCCCCCAGCCTCGCTGCCGCCTTGCAGTTTGATCTCAGACTGCTGTGCTAGCAATCAGCGAGATTCCGTGGGCGTAGGACCCTCCGAGCCAGGTGTGGGATATAGTCTCGTGGTGCGCCGTTTCTTAAGCCGGTCTGAAAAGCGCAATATTCGGGTGGGAGTGACCCGATTTTCCAGGTGCGTCCGTCACCCCTTTCTTTGACTCGGAAAGGGAACTCCCTGACCCCTTGCGCTTCCCAGGTGAGGCAATGCCTCGCCCTGCTTCGGCTCGCGCACGGTGCGCACACACACTGGCCTGCGCCCACTGTCTGGCACTCCCTAGTGAGATGAACCCGGTACCTCAGATGGAAATGCAGAAATCACCGTCTTCTGCGTCGCTCACGCTGGGAGCTGTAGACCGGAGCTGTTCCTATTCGGCCATCTTGGCTCCTCCCCCCATAATGGCATTTTTAAGAGCAATAAATGAATAAGGTCCTCAAAAAAATTCCTGGTATTTAATAAACTTTCAATATCAGACATTATTATTATTACTACCAGTAGGGGTACTATTACTATTACTATTAAATTGCCCTCAGTATGCCAGGTTCTGACTAGGTGTTATAAATATATGACAGATATATATTATTCACATGTCTGTTCTTCTTATAGACATTAAGATATTTGAGATTAGAAAATTCACTTTATTTAACTCTAAATATCAAATACCTGGCATAATTCCTGATACAGACTGGAATCCTAAATAAATTAAGAAAGGATTGGTGGCATGTCAAATTCCTTTAACTTGATTATTTTCATCATCATGTCAGGATGTCAATCTCAGGAAAAGGTAGATTCTCTAATTTGAATATATGGAGGAAATAGAGAAAAAACCTATATATTTCTATAAGACAGAATGGATAGCTTAGGATTAATATACAACCACTGCTTTATTATATATGTGCATTATTCAGTTGGAGATTAGAGTGTAACAGGGTCTTGCCATCATGCTATAATTTCAGGATCAATATTAAAGAAGAATCACATCTTCAATACTCTTATTTTTTCTGGCCCTAACAGAAATTAATTCAGCTGAATGTCGTACAAGTTAAACCAGCCTTATGCCAAATTCTACTTTTCAGGGTATGTAGAAAAGATGATATTATATGTCTTCACAGTATTTCCAATATCCATCTTACAAAGGTATGAAAAACTGATGCATATTAAGAAGTCTGAATAGAAGATGTTGGTATTGATT
Source organism: Homo sapiens (assembly GCF_000001405.40). NCBI lineage: Eukaryota > Metazoa > Chordata > Mammalia > Primates > Hominidae > Homo > Homo sapiens. Next base: position 113,782,951 of record NC_000007.14, read on the forward strand.
TAAGTCAAATGCATTAAGATTTTCAAAAGGAATTAACATGTAGATGAGTTTTATGGCTTCTCCCCTACCCCCAGAAATACTAGGTGTAGCTGTGTAACTGCTTATACAAAGCTGGGAGTCTTCATTTTAATAATGCACTTCCCTGTTATTTTATTTATTATTTTAAAAAGTATAAATACACTTTTTTCAAATATATTGATGACACTAAACAATTAAACAATAAAAATAATGAAGCAGAATTGCAAAAATGACAAGAATTGTATATGAACAAAATATTTTAATTAATTCCATGATGTAAACTTGGCACAACACATTTTACACTGACACAGTCATTTATATTGTGTTTCCTTCTCCCCCTGTCTTCACTGGTAAGTAGAAAAAAATTTAAACCTGAATTACAACACAATTACTGATTACTTAACAATTTTCCTACTCATAATTGCTCTATGGAAAATACTAAATTAAACCAAAATTTCCAAAATATAAAATTAAAATTATATATGTGGTTGAGCATAGAAGTGGTAAAAAAAAAAAAAAAGACAAGACGGACACAACAGAACAATAAGGAAGGAAAGAAAATTCATCTATTGACGTTATAATCACGGAACTCCTTATTTTCTTGTCTTGTCTAAGTACCTTGTCAAAGATATCAATGCTGTTCTCATCTTACGTGAGTATCATAAGGAAAGCACCTGCATTGGCCTCCTCCCCTCACAAAGATTCACTGAAATGACTCTAAGGCATATGAATGGGAAAAAATGTATAAATGTTCCAAGAATAAGAATAACTTTCATTCAATTTTTTCAGCACACAATTTTTTAATTTAGGCATGGTGCCAAATTAACACCTTGGCACAATGGACATCTGGGCTTTAATTTTATCATAAAGAAAGTGGGCAAATCATGCATTTACATCATTGCATTTTTGTAATGTTTTTGTTTAAATTTAAATTAATTGTTTAAATTACACAAAATTATATATACCTTTCTCTAGTTAAACATAATAAATGATGCCACAAGACTTATTTGTTGAACAAACACTTTTTTGTTCAGTTGCTTATTATAGTGTTTTAATCCCAAATCAGAAATTTAAAAATTGATAAATATGTGCAGAGCACTCATAAAAATATATAACTAGAAGTAAAATAATAATTCCACTTTTGGAAAAACAATTATTTACACAAATAATTTTATATTCTCATCTCAAAACAAAAGTCATTAACATCAATAATGAAACTAGGGATGGGCAGGGAAGAGATGAGCAGTTAACATTTCTTCTCATGTAAGAAATCATGGTCTCATGTAAGAAATCAAGGCTTTACCCAATTCAAAAGTTAGGTAGTTGAAAACGAGACAACCAGGTTGTATTGGTCTGTTCTCATGCTGCTATAAAAAATTGACTGAGACTGCGTAATTTATAAAGGAAAGAAGTTTAACTGACTCACAGTTCTGCAGGGTTTGGGAGGCCTTAGGAAACTTAAAATCATGTCGGAAGGGGAAGCAAACACATCCTTCACATGCAACAGGAAGGAGAAGATTAAGTTCCCAGTGAAGGGGGAAGCCCCTTATAAAATCATCAGATCTCATGAGAACTAACTCAGTAGCATGAGAACAGGATGGAGGAAACTGCCCCATCTGGCCCTCCCATGACATATGGGGATTATGGGAACTACAATTCAAGATAATATTTGTGTGGGGACACAGACAAACCATATCACAGGTTGACCTCATTATCTTAAGAAAGAAAAAAGAAGAATTTGGGTTGCTCTAGTTTATTATTTCTCACTGCAACTAAGATAATCACTCTTCAAATAACTAAATTATTCATGAAAGTATTACGAGCATACTTATGAAAATTTGAAAAATGTAGAAAAAAGTTCCAAATTACTTAAAAACTACCATCTATTATTATCTTGGTTAATTTATTTCTAGAGTGTTTTTATATACTCATTGTGCCTGAGATTTTCAGTTGTCTCCCAACTTTTCTTTCTTGTTAGACAAAACTCCCTTCCACAACAGATGCTGAAAATACCAAGTGCTTGTTTTCCCAGACTCCCTTGCAGCAAGGACATGTGGCCAAAGGGATCCGAGAGGTAGTTTGATTAAGGTAGGGCAGTTATTTCTTCTGGGAAATATTTTACTTCCTGTTAAAATAGGAACGTGAGGATTTGAGGAGAAAAATGTTCAGCCATTTTATGACCATGAGGTGACGGCTAAGAGAAATCCACACAGCACTGACCTTTGAGAGTCAACACTGAAATAGCATACCTTTATTAAGGTGTGTACTTAGTGAAGTGAGAAAAAAATAAGCACTTATTATTTACACACTTTTAATCAGATATTCTGTTACCTGTAGTGAAAAATATCATAAATAGCATATGTCTATATGTAGTTATGTTCACAGTGTGCATTAAACTTTATGTCTTATTTTTGCCATACAATATTTTATTATTATTTTCTTACCTTGCTACATAGTTCTCAGAATTATTATTTCATGGCTGCATGATGTGACATTATATGAACATACTACAATGAGAGTTTCTACAAGACTCACAAATATTATCGTAAATGAAATCATATTAAGACCAATACTTCCAGTTCTAGTGTTTTTGAACTCCCATTGCCTACATGACAATGTTACTTTCTAAGGCAGGGGTCTATGAATGGGCAAGCCCTCCTGTAATTCTTCGCAATATTTAGGTTATATTTTGTGCTGGTGTTCATTTATGGAAATACAAGGCTGAAAAGTTTGAAATAGATGTTTTTCTTGTTATTTAAGTTTCTTTAAAAGATAACTGACTGCTTAAATGAAATAATAACAATAGTGTGAGGTGTACAACATATGTAAAAATAAAATGTGAAGCAGCAAAAGCACACGACCAGGACAGGAATGGATGTATACAATTATAGTTTCTATATTAACATGAAGTGGTATATCACTTGAAGGTAAACCGTGATTATTTTAAAATGTTTACTGTAATTCCTAATGCAATTATCCAAGTAAAGTAAAGAAATAAAGGCCACCCAAATAAATCAAATCGAATCATGAAAAATACTTTCTTAAAGGAAGGCAGAAAAAGAGGAAAGGGGGAAAAACTATATATGGGATATTATAAAGCAAATGGCAAGATAATAGGCTTAAACCTGACCATATTGATAACCAGACAAAGTGACAATAACCTACCCACCCCAATTCAAAAGTAGATTCTGTTAAACTGGCTAAAAAAGCAAAACCCAATGATATGGTGCTGACAAGCAAAACACTTTAAAGACACAAATAGATTAAAAATAAAAAGTATGAAAAATATTATACCATGCTAATGTCGTTTTAAGAAGAATGACTATATAAATATCAGACAAAGTAAATTTCAGAGCAAAGAATGATAATGAGAATTTTTTAAAACATTTCATAATGATAAAGGGGCAATACATTAAGAGTACAAAACATTCCTAAATATTTGTGCATCTAATAACAGAGTTATGAAAGCTATGAACAAGAAAAGATACAACAACTGATAAAACTGCAAGAAGACATAGACAAATCCATGACACAGGACAAAGATTTGAATACCACATTCTCAATAAATAATTAATGGAACAAGTGGACAGAAAAATCAGTATGGATATAGAAGACTTGAAAAACATCGTCAACGAATTTGACCTTTGCCTGACATTTGTAGAACATTTCTCCCAACAACAGCAGAATTCACATTCTTTTTAAGTGCACATAGAACACTTACCCAGATAGACCATAATATGCACCATGAAACAAGTTTCAATAAATTTTAAATTATTCAAGTCAGACAAAGTATGTTCTCTGACCATTATAATCACAGATCAATTGTTCTCTGACCATTATGATCAGAGAACAATTATTAGCAGAAAGATCTCTTTAAATTTCCAAAGATATGGAAACTTCTTTGGATAAAGAAGAAATAAAAAATAAAATTAGAAAGCATTTTAAATTAAACAATGAAAAACACAGCAGGCCAAAATTTGTGAGAGGCTGCCAAAACAGTGCTTAATAGCACTAACAAGTTTTCTGTGCTAAACACACAGATTAGAAAAGAAGAATGGTCTCAAATCAATATCCTCAGCTTTTAGCTTAAAAAAGCTACAAAGAGAAAATAAAACCAAAGCCAAAGTAAGCAAAAGAAAAGAAATAATAAAGATCAGAACAGAAATAAATGAAAAATAAAACAGAAAAACCACAGAGGAAATTAATACAAACAAAAGCTGGCCCTCTAAGCATAGCAATAAAATGGATAAACTTTAATTCAAGCTGATCAGAAATAAAAGAGAAATCACAAATTACAAATATCAGGAATGAGAGAGATGACATCACCACAGAATCTACAGATATTTAAAAGGTAAAAATAAATTATTGCGAATAACTTTATTCCAGTAAATTAGACAACTTTGTTGAAATGAACCAGTTCCTTAAAAAACACAAACTACTAAAGCTCATTCAAAAGGCAATATATAACCCGAATATTTCTATATCTACCAAAGAAACTTAATTTTTAGTTAAAAATCTTTGCATAGAGAAACACCTGGTCAAATGGTTTTTTGTTTGTGTGTTTGTTTGTTTGTTTTGATTGCATCTCACTGTGTCACCCAGGCTGGAGTACAGTGGCATCGTCTCGGCTCACTGCAAACTCTGCCTCCCCGGTTCACGCCATTCTCCTGCCTCAGCCTCTGGAGTAGCTGGCACTACAGACGCCCGCCACCACGCCTGGGCATTTTTTGTATTTTTAGTAGAGACGGGGTTTCACCATGTTAGCCAGGATGGTCTCAATCTCCTGACCTTGTGATCCGCCAGCCTCGGCCTCCAAAAGTGCTGGGATTACAGGCGTGAGTCACCACGCCCGACCCTCAGATGGGTTTTATGGGTGAATTCTAACAAATATTTAAAGGAAAAAAAATGGTATCAGTTCTAAATAAACCCTTCTAGACCTAATATTCTAGTCTTGACAACATAAGATATAACTTACTAAATGAATGATCACCTACCAGGTACTCTGCTAACATTATTTTACTTAGTACTCACAAGAAACCTAAAATGTGGATGACCATCATTTCACAAGTAACAAAAATCAGGTCTAAGGGATTAATTAATTTATCCACCTTCCTAGGATGTGGGTAAGGAAGTGACAAAGCAAGGATTTTATAATTCATATATCCATAATCTTTTCATTATTCCCTAGTGAATCTCCTGTAACTCCTGAAATATATTTTTGAATATTTCTTTGCATTTTTACATATTGCTGCCTCTGTATGGAATGCATTTCTTCCCTTCTTCACTTGGTAAACTTTTATTCAACCTTTAAGTCTCAGCATGTCTCTGGAACATGTATTCTCAGGCACTACTGGTATCAGTGTAAACTGTAAACTTTCTGGATAAAAATTTGAAAAAAATTAATCATAATTCTAAATTTTTTTTCTATAAGAAGATTCACATGTATAAATTTATCCTCAAAAAACCAAATTGAACTAGCATATAAAGGGCATATAGAAAAATGATTATTATAGCACTAATATTTTATAATGCTTTCCAGCAACATGGTGAACTGAGTGAACCCAGAAGTCCCTCTTCCCATACATATGTAGACGTACTAGACAAAATAAAACAAAAATACATAAATCATAGCCAAGCATTAAAAAAGAGGAAAAGGAAAGAATAAAAGAATGGAAAAATCCTTACTTCTGAAAAATGAAGAGAACAATCAAAGCTGTAGATATATAACTGATGCCATGACAGGAGACTAGGGTATCAGACACGACACAGTTCTGAAGCTCTGGGAAATGAATTATTACTACTCATATGGGAATAGAAAAGTACCCTTAAACCAGTTCATGAAGAGTAGTTGAGACTGACTGTCCTGGAAATGCCTCACAGCCTTGAAGGATGCCACACTGATGTAAAGGGGAGTTGAAAACAGAGTCACAAGAGCCAAAGAAAGTTGTGGGACAGGTGTGTAGTTCATGCCTGTAAACCCAACACTTTGGGAGGTCGAGGTGGGAGAATTGTTTGAGGCCAGAAGTGCGAGACCAGCCCAGGCAACACATAGTGAGACCCCATTTATGCAAAATATTTTTTTAAAAAATTAGTCAGTCATGGTGACATGCCTCTACAGTCCTAGCTACTAAGGAGGCTAAGGTGGCAGGATAGCTTAAGCACAGGAATTAGAGGCTGCAGTGAGCTGTGATCATGCCACTGCACTCCAGCTTGGGCAACAGAGTGAGACCTTGTCTCAACAAAGAAAGAAAGTTGCAAAGTATCTTGCTGAGTGCTACATTTTAAAATGATTGAAAAAAGACATAAACAAATGATAATAAATATTAAGCTAGAAAGAAGGAAAGAACAGGAAAATTGATAAAGAACTAAACAGAACTTTTAAAAATGGAAATATTTTCCATAATATTAAAAATAAAATAGATGGGTTAAACCAATTCATAATAAAATTCCTAGAAACCTGAGAATAGAGCAAGAGCTTCTTAACCAAATAAAGTGCATCTGCCAAAAATCTATAGCAAATTTAAGTTGGCAGTGGTTAATGTAGTGGGAAATACCAGTTGCAAACCTGAGCTCATGATCAAGAATTACAAATATTTGAGAAGCAACAACACTGTGAAGGAGGGAGCAATAAGATTACCTATTTGCATGTAAACCTGTATTTTATTAACCCTGATCCATTATGCTTACAACCCTTTACATAGAACCCTCAGTTTCCAGCCAGTATGAGCTTAGGAGGAGATGATGGACAATGGGAACAGAAAGTGTGGTGAGGAAAGTCATGATTGGCCTGAGCTTCCTTACAAGACCTGGTAGCCCTTAGCACAGGCTTTTGAGAAAGTAAACCTGGGTTTTCCATTTATATCCATGTGATCTTGACAAACTCACTTTAATTTTCTAAGCCCAAATTTCATAATCTATAAAGTAGGGATCATGATAATAGTACCTACTTTAGAATTGGTTTATAAGAACTAAATAAAACAATGTATGTGTAACATCTAGCAAGGTGCCAGGTAACTTTAATAAAGTTTAGATGCTGCACTGTCACTATCATCCTTACTATAATTGCCCGCTCCCCAAGGTGGTGCCTCCCTGCAGCAGGATTGTGGAGTTTGCAGATACATTCTCTTTGGCAGCCATTACGGGAAGTCTGCAGAAATGTGTGGCCCTCTCTGTCCACTACACAGCCTTATTGACTCCACGATTAACTGCATGCCAGTTGCTGATAACACTGGACCTCATGACTCTGCCAATTGTCACAAGTAGAGCCTGCCAATGTCACTCAAGTTACTGTCCAGCAGCTGCCAACACTACTCGCATGTATTTGTGCAGGCCTCCTTCTAAATCTCTACCAGAAGTACTCTTCTCACTATGCTGTTTTCAGGAAGTCTTTCTCTTTTGTGTTTTTAATAATGCCATAGCTTTTTTATTAGAGCCTGTCTCCCTCCAACCCCCAATAAGAATGGCAAACAAGAAAATGTCTTTCTATACCCATTGCTCAGAATCCAGCAAAGGAGATGGGCATAATAACAACAGGCTCTATATAACATGATAAGTTTCACTGGCTATCATCTTTTTTCCTTCTCTTTCCCTTCTTGAATGGTATTTATGTTTTTGTGTTTCAAGTCTGCTTGTTAGAACCCTAGTTCAGACAATAGGCTTCGTTGTCTCGTTGGGCGTCTTGTCTGCCAATTCTCCTTCCTTCTAATCCAACATGTCATTTCTAGATTAACCTTTCCAATGAATTGCTTTAATCACATCAGATACTTACATTAAAATTTTTTTTTAGTCTATTTACTTTGTTTCTTATAAGTCCTCTTTCTTGAGGACCTGGGAGAAGATCTTTGGAGGCCAGGTCCAAAGACAATTTAGGTACACAATCACCCCTGCTGAGACGACTCATGTGCTGAAAAGTAGCCCAGCTCCTTACTGTCTGTATCTCAGGATGAGCTCCCCATCTGCTAGGAACACCCCCTGGAATTTGAGAGAGTGCGTTTCTTACCATCCTACCTTCACCTTATTTTTGACATTTGTAGACACATTAAGGAGATGGACCTCTCTGTCTTCTGCTGACTATTGCCCATCAACTTAGGTCCCAGGCCAGCTGACTTGAGAAGGACTGCACAGTGTCAGTCTGAAACTCAGGATTGTGGGCACACTCCTCAATTTACAACTGAAATTGGAAGGTTCCTATCTCTAGCAAGCACATTCCTCCAGACATATAGCCCAAGACCTATGTCCATTTGTTCTGCTTATCAATCTATTGTCTCTTAGCTCCAAATCCACTCATCTATACTTGGCTTTGCAACACTAGTGATGCAACTCTGCAAAGCAAATTTCAGCATTTCACCTCCATAGTTAACATTTCTGTTAGACTCTGACAATAGGGGACACTAGAGGGATTCTGCTAGAAGAAAGGAGGAGGAAGAGCCTTGATATCTCCTGTTTTGCTTCTTGCCTCCTTACTGTTCCTCTGAGCATCATGATAGCAATGACTCTTCATCCCAGCAGTAGCAATTCCTTTCTGCAAAAGCAGATAAATCAGTTTTGCAGAGTTTTGAACACTTGCAAAACTAGCTCCCTCATGACCTCCCCACTATCACCATGAGACAAACACACTAGTGGTCTGGCATCCACTTCTTGGAAGTCTGGATCCCAGACTCATGGGATCTCAGACTCCTCTGTAGTCTGAGTTTCAACTCTACAGAACCCCTCTGCTAAGTCTTAACAATTTTAACCATTTCCCTTTTTCTCCTTTAGGAACTCATCCTGTAGTTGCTGGCTCAGTGACACCCTAGAGTTCCCTTTTACCCTATAGATTACCTAGTTAACAAATTTCTGACTACATCCTTACAGATACAGCATCATTAGACTATTGGTCTGGCAATTCTTTTTGCTGCCTCCCAACTTCTCCATTAAATGTAGAGGTGAGCGTGCGCAGGGTAGGAGTGGGATGGTAGGGGGCATAGCCTTTGTAACCTCAGGGTTTCACTTAATCATTCTCAGCCCTCCAGTACTGTTTAACCAACACTCTAAATTAAAATTTGTCTGTTAAATGAACTATAATAAAATATTTCTGTTTTCCTATCTGGATTCTGACTGATATAGTCATATTCTTGGTATTAAGTAATGTCACTGTAATTACCACTGTTAATTGGACAGAGGATGAACACCTGTTCCAAAGAGCCCAGACCACAAAGTCAAATTGCCTGGCTCCATATCCCAAGCCTAACCCCTGCTAGCTGTGTAAAATTGTTACATAACCTTTCTGTGCTTCTTTCTTTCTTTTTCTTTTTTTGTCTTTTTTTTTTTTTTTTCTGAGACAGAGTCTCGCTCTGTTGTCCAGCCTGGAGTGCAGTAGCGAGATCTCGGCTCACTGCAAGCTCCGCCTCCCAGATTCACACCATTCTCCTGCCTCGGCCTCCCCAGTAGCTGGGACTACAGGTGCCAACCACCATCACGCCCGGCTAATTTTTTGTAGTTTTAGTAGAGACAGGGTTTCATCATGTTAGTCAGGATGGTCTCGATCTCCTGAACTCATGATCCGCCTGCCCCAGCCTCTATTTCATTTCTTAAATAGACAAATAATACTTTATAAGGTTGTTGTGAAAATTAAATGAATTGATACATGTGAGATACTTAGAATAATAAGTATTATCCATTATTTTTATTAAAGTATTTCTTTTTCAAGAATTTGAAATACTTTTCAAAATCACTTAATTAGTAGTAGAATATGCAAAAGAAGGCTAGAGAATGAGAGAAAACCAGAAAGAAGTTGAGTAAATACTGTAGTTAGTGTTGGATAACTAGATTTCTCTCAGAGCACTAGAACTATAATATCCTGAAAGAAAATGAAATCTGTTACCCAACACATGTCTCTGCACTTGTCCTATCTTCAAATAACTTACAATCAATTATAACACAGCTTGATAAATGCTAAAACAGAAAACTGTAAAATTGTATAGGGTCATGGAAGAAAGGCTGGAGATGATTCCCTGGAGACAGGATGTAAAAAGGGAAACAATGAAGAAAGGAGACAGAGCATATGCAAAAAGAATGCTCAAGAGAGAGTGCAGTATTTAAAATACATGTAAACAGTTATCCTGCACCACAGGATATGTGTAGAATGTGGGAGAAAATAAAGCTGAAGATGTAGACAGGGGCCAGATTATCAAGTCGTGATTACAAAGCCAAGGAGACTGAAAACTAGGAGTAGTCCTCAATTTAGTCTCTTTCCCATTATCTTCGTAAAGCAGAGACAACATGATGTGTTTATTATGCTGTTTAATTTCCTACAGTGTACACAGGAAGGCTACATTTCCCAACTCTCCCCATTAGAATTAGATGTGACCAACTGACAAAGTTCAGACCAAAGGAATGTAGGTAGAAATAGTACACACTAATTAAAGAACCAGTGGTCAGCTGTGGCAAGGGGCAGGAAAATTTCTTGGCTTCGTGTTCCAGAAAATTATCAGCTGCCACCAAGGGGAAAAATGACAGAAAACATGACTCCCCACCTACCATCCTCCACTAATCCTAGGAAAAACCAACTGCTGCTGGTAGAGAATCAGGAAATAAAAAATGTGCGCTTAGGGCCTTGTACTAGTATAAAAGTGATGTCTAAGGCTACTGGGGAGAGGCAGGAAACTTACGCATGTCAACTCTCCCACTGACAGAAGACAGAGTTAGGCTGAGATCAATGAAAGGAAGGAAAGCTCCTTGCCCTCTAAAGTCCATGCTGTGTTGAAGGGAAAACATGACTGCCACTGGAGGAGAAACAACATTGTAAAAGCTCCCCCTTGAGACTCCAGTGCACAGGCCCTGCATAATACTGAAAATGGAGGACAAGTGAGAGCCACTTTTTCCCCATAGAGCCATATACTTGTTGCTTGAGTAACAATCTGTGTCTTTGAGAGGGTCAGAAGCAAAGAGGTAAATAGATGGCCCAGGTATGCAGGGCCTATGCACATCTATGAAAGCTGAATGGAAAGCAGGAACACTGAGAAAAACTTCCTGGTATCCCAGCCCCTGAACTAAACACAAGAGAAACACAAGAGAGTAGAAATCTACCACTGAAGTAATTTGAAGTCTGTAGAACATAAAGGTAAATACAGCAACAAAATCTAGGTAAGGTACTGATTAATTGAATCAAGCCCAAACTAACAGCCTGATAGAAGAGATGAACTTATTTCCAAACATAAATATTATTTACCTTGGTCTTTACTGTTCTTTTATACATGATGTCTGGAATGTACTAATAAAAAAATGTAAAAGAGCAAGAAAATCTTTAAAAATTTTTAAGAAGTAAGCAAGATAACTAATCAGATCCAAATGTAACTATCAGAGAAATACTAAAATAACTATGATAATATGTTTAAAAATTTGATATGAAAAATAAACAAAATGCATGAACAGAGAGATTTCTGCAGAGAGGTGAAAATATCATAAAAGAGCCAAAGGAAGATTCTAGAAGTAAAATACACATCAGAGAGAAAGCATACATTTGCTGGGCTTCTTAGCAGACTAAACCCAGGAAATAATCAGTGAATTTCAAAATAGAGCAACATAAATTATTCAAACTAAAGCACAAATAAAAAGAGGAGAGAGAGAATCTGAAACAGAGCACCCAAGAACTATGATATGACATCTCATGGTCTAACATACATATATTTGGAGATGCAGAAAGAGATAAAAAGAAATGTTTAGAGAGATAATCGTGAAGACTTCTCCAAATCAACCACAGATTCCAAAAATTCTGAGAACTTCAGAAGAATAAATAGGAAGAAACACACCTAAGTGCATCATCATCATCATCATCATCATCATCAAACTGCTGTAAACCAAAGGTAGAAAAGCTAGATGAATACCAAAGAAAAAAGACATAGCATCTACAGAAAAGGAAAGATAAGAATCATCATAAACCTCTCTTCAAAAAAAAAGCAAGTCAGAAGAAAATGAACCATGAACCAATATCATCAGGTAATGAAAGCAAAAACAAAACAAAACTAATAAACAAACAAAAATACTGTCAATCTAGAATTCTATACCAAGTAATATATTCCTCAAAAACAAAAGTGAAATAAAAACTTTTCAAGACATAAAAGAAGAAATGCATTAGAAAAAATGTTAAAAGTGGTTTTGGCCAAAAGGAATATGATTCTAGGTAGACATTTTAATATACAATACAAGAATGAAGAGTGGTAACAATGTTAGATATATAAGTAAATATTCAAGATATTTTTTACTCTTTCTATTTTCTTTAATATATGAATGTGTAAATAAAACTGGGAAAATTGTTCTTTGGGGATTACAACATGTGGAGAAGTAAAATGCAAGACACTCGTAACAAAATGGATGGTAAAGGAGAAACCAAAGTATATTCTTGTAAGGCCCTTACACATTACATGAAATGCTATATTATTTAAAGGTAGACTTGATAAATTAAAGATGTACATTTTAAACTATAGAGAAACCACCAACAGAGTAAGAGAGAGAGGAAGAGAAGGCTAGTAGACTAATAGTGGAGATTAAATGGAATCATACAAAATAAGAAATCTAATAAAATAAAAGGAAGAAAAAGAAAACAAAACATAGTTGAGAGGAATAGAAAACAAAAACACTAAAATAGATTTAACCCAAACATGTTAATAATTACATTAAATACAAATGATTCCAATGTCAATTAAAACATAGAGTTTGTCAGCTTGGATGGAAAAGCAAGATTCAACTACTTTTTGTTTACAAGAAACTCAACAGAAAGACACAATTGGATTAGACAAACTTGTAATCAGGTCAGGAATGTGTAAGCCAAGAACTAAACACTTTTTATGAAGTTACAGCCATAACTTATTTATCTTTTGCATTATGATGTAATTTTCTGTTTGGTTTCTAGTCTTTCTGGAGATGGCAGACCCTTTCTATGAAATTAGAAAGTCATTCCAGCATCATCATCACATGGGAGACTATAGACCCTATAAAAAATGACACACAATATTATCTCAATATGTTTTTAAAAGTAAAATATGGACAAAATGAACAACAAGAGCAGCATTGAATAAGAAAAGATTTCAAGACACATAGCAAAAGTAAGTAAAGAATGTGTTGTGACATGGAAAAGAAACATCATGTTTTGGTGCAAGCTTAGGGTCCATCAACATAAGCATCATAGGCCCTTGAAACAAACAGCAAAAAAGAAAAGAACTAGTAGACATCCTTATACAGCTCCTTTCTTCTTGATTCATGTACCACTGACAGGTATGCAGTAAAACAAAACAAAAACAAAAACAAATTAAAGAGAAAACTTCATTTTTTACCCCACTGCCTATTCATACCCAACAAAGGTATTATTATTTTCTCTGCTACTCAGATGAAATTGAGAGGAAACGCCATGACTTTTTGGTTACTCATAGGTAATAAAAAATTCTCTGATTGCATCTGGTCACAAAGAGAAAGTCTCATTTCAGCAATTAAAATGTCCTGTCCATGTAATATCAAACTTCATCTAAAGTTAGAGCTTCTCCTCAGCCCTAGTTGGCCTGCTAGGTTGTTACCTGCAGTGGGAAAGAGGTATTGTGGGTTCCTTCTCTATTTCCTCTATTACTGTGCAAGTCCTACATAGGTGGTCTAACTTTAGAATGTGGAATAGCTGGCAAATATTGTTTTGGGGCTTTGGCCAAAACGGAGTCAGAAATAGTTCAGCTTTAACATCCTGTTGCATATCCTTGGTAGAACAACTACAACGCACAATGTTCATACAGCTTTTCACTCCATATGTTGTAAGTTGAGATGGAGAATTCAAGGGCAGGCAGTAGAATAACAAAGTGGGCATGCTTAGGCTCTTTACAGGAAATACCTAACCACACATGTCACAATCAACTGCAGTGTTTCCTAACTTTCCCACCAGCTTACCCTGAATCACTGAGGAAGAGACAGACCCCTGTAGGATGTGAGGTCTTAGTCTAAAGAGGTATTTTTATTTATGGTATTTCTTAACAGGCTTGTGTTTTGCTAATTAAAACACACAAACTTGTGTTCTATACCAAAATGCCTCTTTTTATTTTAGCATTAAAAATTATATTTTTTTCTAACATTTTCCTTAAAATTGTTTCTCTAGAGATATGTATCACATGTAATGTCTAATTCCAGTTTAAAACCAGCAAAATGCCATATGCCCCAGTTTGGTCAATCACAATCTGGAAATCATGGTGTTTATGTAATTCTGAAGGATGCTTTTGGAATTAGTTTTTCTTGTATTCCTCGTTAATACATGGCCATTTAAGTTGCTTTTAGCAGAAATGTTTAAATACCTGCTCAGAGGAAAGCAAACATTTGTTTTCAGAAAGCATATTAACCAAATAAACACCTGGGCCCTTTTCCAGACATTGTTTTTTTTTTTTCTTCACCTTTCCTCTTAACATATCCCCTTATAGTCTTGATTTGTCTCCAGTTTCAGGTTGCACCCAGCTTAAAATAGAAATCAGTAATATTATTGGAAAGAGAAAGGAAACTTTAGAAATATAACTTTTTTACTCATTCTAAAGGAAATTGGTCCCGCAAGAGAACCAAGCTAAAAGCAGTGTTGAGTTGAGTACACTTACAAATTCATTATGTGACAACAGGTCTGCTACACCTGTTGTGGGCTCATTCACCCATCAGAGTTTATCTGTAGTTTTTCTACCTATAACTTCAACTATAATGAGAACAGGGAGACTCCTCACAGAACTCTATAAGCTCAAAGCTGATACTCCGGTGAGACAGGTACTCAGAGATAAGTGGAAACTATTCAGCTCTATTTCAGTTCAAAAAGCTAACTCCTGCCATTCCAAGATAAACATCCCTAGAGTTATTGGTGAAGTTAATATCACACTGGGAAATGAATGGCTGTATGAGCTAGCTGCAAAAATAGGCAGAGTCACTGAGTCAGAACAAGAGAATAAAAAAGCTAGTTAGCTGTTTCTAATTTTCAAAAAAAAAAAAAAAAAAAAAAACAAATAAAACCCAACCTTCTAAATCCAAGAGGTTAAACCTAGAACTAGGGATATTAGTGGTTTAGTGAAAAGTGAACTCAAAGTCTAGGAAAGTATTTTTAAAGTGTAACTCCTAAGACCTGCGTCAGGATCACAGGTGGGAATGTCGGTTGCCCAGCTTGTTAAAAAATGCAGGCTCTTAGACCTAACACTAGACCTGCTGAATAAATATTAGGAGTTGAAAATTGCCACCCAGGAGATCCTTACTGATGTTGTTGATTGAAAACCACTGGATTAGGATCTAATAGATCAATAATACAAGGAGGAAGAAATTATGAGTCTCTGAGAGTAAAATAGGCTATAGACAATAGCACAAAAGCTAAATAGATTCACCATCCCTGATTCACAGTTGTGAAATCTATAAAGTTCTGAAAAACAAAAAGTGTTTTTGGTAACTTACTTAGAGGTCATTCCCAATCTGATCTAAACTTATTTCTTGGCCAAAAAAAGCAATTCATACTTGAGTGAGATTATGTGTAACCTTTATTCATTCTATTTTGTGTGCATGTTTGGGTTTTGCAGCATAGTCACTGTGTGATGGCCCAAATGGAGTTAGTTTGTAATATAAGATAGATCGTACTTTATTCTGAATTCCCAGATGCACTTAGCTCAATGATTTTCAGATGAGGGAATGAGTATCTGCAGTTGTTTAAGGACTTTTCAGTTGCAGGAAAATAATACAACTAAATGAGCCTCAACCTAAACAAATATTGGGGGAACATCTGTGAAAGATAAAGGGGAAAGGCAGGAGGAGGAGGTGGGAAGAGCCATTGGACTGCAGTGCTGACCTGACACCTGTGAAAGGAGAACAGGAGGGAAGGAGGAGTGAGCCTAGTGAGCTCCAGACTTCAGGCTAATCTTATTCTACCCAATACAGTTCACATTTTGAATTGTCTTTCTCGATACATATTTGTCAAACCATATATCTTCACTTAAGGTTTGTAAATTATGGTTACTGTAAGTTAAATACGTAGAAAACGTTGTCCTATCATGGTCATTCAGCCCTGAGAAAAAAAGCTCTCAAAGGAATCACTGGTCTACAGATCAGAGAAACCATTTGGTTATCCGCTGTAATACACACTTTGCCCAATCCCTTGTTGCTGATGGAAGAGACCCAAATCAAAACTGCATTGGTTGACAAGGACTAGAGCCAACTGATCCCAGTCCTTTTCTTCCTTTTGCCCTGCATAGTTGCCATGGTTTTTGCTTCTCTGAGTATCTTCTGAGGACGTACACCTAAGGAATCTGTCTGGCTGTTACAAGCTAAAATTAATAAACAAAATAGACCTTATAAGGTTTCTTATCTGTCCTACTGATTTGGACACTTTGCATATCCTCAAACTCCACCAGATTTTTTTTCTTTATAGCCAGATAAAGTGGAATTTTCCAGACAAGTTTTATCAGATACTGATAATAGCCATTACATGACAAGATTAAAGGGATAAATTAGCACTCTGTGCTAACCTCTGTTACTAAGACATAAAGGAAATCTGATATGTTTTAACTAGGTGGGTTTTTCCCATAAAATAGACATTTATAGGGCCATTTTTTTGTGAATTTTCTTGTTAATGCTGTTTAGGTGTAACTCTTTTTCCTTCGTTTCTTTGCTTTTTCAAAACAGTGATCACCTGAAAATCAATATTTTTAAAATCACCAACTTAAATGTTTCTTCTTGTTCTGGTTTTCTTGGGTGCTCTATGGGTGTCAGGTATAAAAGGAAAAGATGAGAAAAAAATGTTCACTAGTCGGTGCCCTTGCCTTAGAGTTCAATTCTAGTTGTTCTCTGAGATTTTAGCATCACACTCATTACTTATTTATATCTTTCCTCTTTTTTCCACTTTGCAGATAATTGCTACTTAATTGATACTGCTTCTATGCAAACCTAGTCACAAGACACACTGCTAAATACAGGAATCATTAATCTGTGTGTATTTTGTAGATTTCCTTTAAAAGGGAGACTGGAATAAGCAAAGTCATTAGCAGTTTATTTGCAACAGTGCACTTATGGAAAGCTCTGTGGAGGACACATCAACAGTCAATATATAACTGAGCAATTAACACAGGGCTCCCGCACTTTGGGGTGTTAGCATGGGAGTAAACAGAAGCAGATGTGAAGTGTTTGTGCTGTTAGCATGCACGGTCTGTTCTGACATATGCAAATACCACTCACGCTTACAGAACCTGCAACCCCTATTGTACCATGACCTGATGAAGCCCTATGACAGAAGTGCTTCATTTGCACTGGGTGCTATTAATTATTAATAGACCAATACCACCTTTTCTTGTTATTAGAGCTTAGCAGAAAGCCAGGTGAGGAAGCATACACAAACAATTTGATAATACTCTAGTTCTCAGCTTGCCTTGACAACTGCTCTCTT
Organism: Homo sapiens; assembly: GCF_000001405.40. NCBI lineage: Eukaryota > Metazoa > Chordata > Mammalia > Primates > Hominidae > Homo > Homo sapiens. The sequence goes on from NC_000007.14 coordinate 113,800,370, forward strand.
GCCAGTGGACTCCCTAAAACTAGAGAACAATTAAGGCCAGAGAACACATAAAGGGTCTCAAAAGACTGACAGATGGGATCACCTGTGCAAGTCAGGCATAAATTTGGATAGTTTTCTCTGTGGGACTCAGGTAAAGCCTGTGATGAACCAGTGGTTTCATGCAGGCAGGAGAATCTCGGTCTTGAGATAGATTTGTCCATGAGAACTCAATTTATCATTTTTCCCTTTCTTAACTGGGATCTGAAAAATTATTGCTCACTAGAACAATTAAATTAGAAGCAAATGGCATGACTTTCTGTCTGTGTATCTTTAAAGGACATGTCTTAGGCCTCATCTTTTATACCACTTACCTTCTGGAAAAGAAAGCAAATTTTATTGTGCAAAATGTAATTTCTTCCATCTCACTGTCAGTAAATTGTAAGATATCTCACCACTAAAGAAAGGTTCTTTAAGTATTTTAAAAGTCGTATATGCATCTCAGAAATGGCAACACTTCATTAAAAAGAAAACTGCAACAAAGATTATTCTAGAGCCTTTGCAGTCTGTAAATGGGAAACCTACTTGTGGGTAGATTGATGAAAGCCACGTGGTAGCTATTAGCTAGTCAGGATTTTTTTTAATTCTCTAAATTATAGCACAACATTCCTTTAGGGTGATGGGGAGAAACTTGCCCTCAATTCTTTATTTTATAAAGAATATTTTTGAGACCATGTGTTGCTGCATATATATATATACATATATATATATGTATATATATATATATATATATTCCAGACTTATGTTTTCCTATGACTAAGCTAGACCCACTTTAAGTACATCCCAGTGGAATGAATTAATTTGAACCATTAGTACATTCTACTATAGATATCCTAACATTTACTCTGATCTTTTACCAAAATCCTGGTTTTCCATCATCCCTTTGTAAAAATATCTTACATACAACTTGACTAAAGCTATTAAGGTGAGGGGCTGAAATAACATATCTTAGACTTATTGAATTGAAATCCTATCCTCTCTGCGAAAACGGAATCAACTAAATGAAACATGAGGCAGATTCTTTACTCCTCAAACTCATTCTATAATGCAGTTCTCAGATTTGGGGGGAAATAGCAAATACTAAATCCTTTGCAGAGTATAAATCTTCATTTGCTCATAATCATAACAGCATTGTCTCCATTTTATTTGAGTATGAGATCTATTTTTCTAGTTTTTTACATTTCTGTCTAGATAAAGTAAAATTTTTCTCCAGTCACATTCTACACATATTGAGCCTCATGCTTACGAAAATAAATTAAGGTTGATTTCATTTATTAAAACAGTACTTAAATTCTTAGGAATATACTATATCAAGTAAGCAACATTTCCATGAACAAGGTCAGAGGGGAAGTGAACAGAGGAAGTAGGAAAACTAGGAAATGGAGTAAGGATTCACGAAGTGCAATACAATTTGCTTTGAAGGCCTTGATTTTTGAACTGGCATATGTCTCAATATTACAAGAATTCTGAAAGGAAATGTTTATGATCTAAGTATTTTGTTTACTATGGTGAGATGAGGCAGATACAAACTTCTGAATCATGGAATCAGGCACCTGGGTCATGGGCTGTGCTGGAATATGTAGACAGGAAATTGATAGGAGAAAATATCCACAGGTCTTTTACATTTCTGCATGTCTTGTGGGCAGTTTTTTTTTCCCAGACTCTATTTTTAAATATGTTTGTATAGAAAACAGCCTTAGAGTATAGGGATGGTGCATTCCTCCAGAAGAAGAGGCAGATTTACTTACTGTTCAGTAAAATCAAGAGAATGTCTCCCTCCAGGGCATAATCAAGCACACTTACTGTCCATTATAAAATATTTGGCTACCCAAGCTCCAATTTCATTTGCTTGGAGCACAGTTCACTGCATGTGCACTTATTATCTAGCCCTCTTTGGGTGTGAAATCTAGGGCTCAGAGACCCAGGAGAGAATATGCTGATTCTCCTGCCATGAATAATGAAGTTTTTTGATTCTGACAAAGGAATCTCACATATTCTGCAATCATTCATAAAGCTGTGGCAAGCTAACTTGTTTGCTCCCAAGTGGAGAAAAACCTCAGAACTTTCATAGTTTTTGACAGTTTGGCAATGCATATGGGATACTGACAAAGACAAGATTTCTGGAAAAGAGTAGATTAAAGCCTCATGAGGCAATTGACAACATTTGGGAAAAGTTCATAGCAATCAATGGTAAACATATAGACCCGATTGGATAGCCTACCTGGCAGTAAATGGACTTCATTGTATTGCCTATTAATGAGTAGGTATAGGGAGGTTATTGTAGGCCATTACTAGGAGGCAGGTTCACAGGCAGATGCAGGAAGGGTGCCCTGGTTGTTGCTAACCCTTCTAAATAGCTACTGCTTCTTGGAGCCATAATGGTCCCAAACAAGGGAATACACCCACCATCATAGGCAGAGCACAAAATAAAGAAGTCTATGTTTCTGCTGCAGAAGCTATTGCTGAAGCCAGACCCCTGCCAAAAGTTGACTCACTGGTCTCACTGGGAGGGAGAGAGGCCCTATTATACAGGGCATGTCCCTCATCTTTCTGGCATTTTGGCTACATCTGGCCTTTGACTTCCTTTCAGGGTTACCTATGATGCCTTACTACCATTGACACATTTTTTAGTTTACATATGTTCCATTTCAATCAGCCAACTCTGGCCACTAAATGGTGTGAGGATTTCAGTTTTCCAGTCTATTTGTAGTTGACAGTTGTGCACCTCTTATTACAACAGCCACTAAATAATAGGTTGATAGTCAAAGTTTTTAATAATCTTCCATGCATTATATTATTCACGATCATCTGGTATTCTTGAGTGTTGGAACCCTCTTGTAAATGAAGGATTTCAAAAGCTTTCTGACTCTAGCTTTCTCCCCTCCTTCCTGTCCACACACTTCAGTAGGACAGACTAGTCACCAAATATGGCTTCCTACAGAAATTGTTCACCTTTCTTTGGCCACTTCTTGGATAATGATCAGTTTTAAAGGAGAGTGGGGGAGGTTATACAGACTTATTTTGAAAAATTGGGATTCTGTATAACCATTCCTAGACATGAAGAATCTTTCTTTACCCTAAAAGCAATCCCAGATGGCCTGGTTGGTACACCCTCCTAGTGGCAGCTCAACCAAAAGGGGAACTAGTGAATTCAAACTTAATTTTGGTTAGCCACTTGGTTTATCTTGTTGGATTGACATGGTCATAGAACACGAAGATAATGACCACTAGGTTGAGTATACCACTTTGAGAGCCCCCCTATAGTGATCAACATGGGTCAAAGTGGGAGACAAAAATGAATTTTTGTAGGTTTTATTAAAATATCTGTGTTCCTCTTTCACTTAGTCCATTTGTATAAGAAATCTGGATATGAATACAAGATGACTGGAAAAAAAGGTATAGTTATAGCTATTCACCAATATCCTAGTGATGGAAGGAAGACAACATCCTTGCCTCCTGGGAAGGAAATACTTCAGACCCCAGAAGGTATGCGGGGAGAAGGCATTAAGGATTTCTGTCTTTCAGAATCATTGTGCATCTTCCTTCAGGAAGAAAAATGCTCTGTTGTGGCTCTATCAAGCTGTTGCAAAATTTTGAATATAACTGAGTCCTACATCTGCTGTGGCCTGCCAGAAGGCCTGACCACAATTTGTTTGCTGTTACCCAGAACCTCATTAAGAAATCAATCGAAATTGCAGGTGATGGTCCTGGAAAATCTACCTCTCACACAAAATATCCATTGACCATGGGATATCTTGCTCTTCCTTATTCCTGTAGTTGTCACTCAGTACTTTCATGGGGCAGATTAGTGTCACCTGGCTGGTGCTGTGGATAAACAAGGCCAGTTGGAATAACTGCCTAATTCAAACAGAACTAAGTATCCTAAGAACTATCAGCCAATTGGAGGCCATATTTCCTACTTGATTGCTGTAAAACTGTGATCCCAATTAATTTAAGTTTCAGTGGTGGGGCCCAACAATTGTCAAGAACACATTTTTGCACGGACACCATGTGTACCCAAATACTTCTTGTGTTGAAGCCGAGCATTACCTTGCCTCCTTCCCCAAAATACAGTGACTTGCATAAGAAGACCTTTCAGTGTTTAAAGAAACACAACCAGTAAATAATTTTGCCTCTCCAAAATAAGGCCACCCTTCATTACCTGGGGGAAGCTTGCTGTGAGATAACTGCTTCATCATTTATGTGTACCCTGAAGGCAGACATCCCTATGATGGAAATCATCTAATTAGAAAAGATAGCACGAAATTCATGCTGACATCAGCTGAAGTGATTTATGACCCTACTGGCCAGGATTGTTATGGATGACAAAACTTGCCCTAGATTTTCGCCGTGTACGCTTATACCTGTATTAATGCCTCCAGCCTAGTGGAAAGGTCAAAACAATGACTGAAAGACTATAATAGTCTTTATTAAATTCTATATAAGATAAACTGAAAGTATTTTGATCTCACCCTTTATTAGTCAGATCAACTGGAATGGGTGATGAAGTCATGTACTCATGGAAAAATTTACCAGAAGCCAAGAGAGTTTACAAACAAGGAGTGGGTACTATTTGGAGATAACTATCTATGGATCTTGCATTTCTGCTTGTCTTGAAAAGTGAGACGTTGACTGGTCTGTTTCAGACTACCTTTTCAGTTACGCTTGTCTAGAAAACACCCTTGACAGAGATAATGTTTCCATCTGGAGCAAAAAGCAAGTTTGCTTATAGACTTGGAAGATAGTAGGGTCTTCCTCCAGAGCAAAGATGTATGCATGTATGCATGCTTACTGCCCAGTATAATAAAAATAATGTCACTCTCCAAGGCAAAAAGTAAACATGCTTCTCACTCATTTTGAAAGATTGGGTTTAAAAACCTCAGGGTTCCTTTCCTCCAAGGCAACCTTATGCATATGTAGGTATAATCTGACCCATTTTTATCCATCCTGTGGACTTGGGGCTCAAAATTTATCTTAAAGAAATCATTGCAAAGTCTGCAAATATGTAGGGCTATATACACAAGGAAAGTCTTTGCAGCATTGTTTACAATGGTAAAATACAACTGTTTATCAACAGAGGACTACTAAACTATATTACAGTTATATTATACATGTTCTATGGTATAAAAGCTCAAGGGTGAGTTCCGGGCTAGAGGTGTAGATTTGGGAGCTGTTTTACACACACACACAGAGAAACCAACATTAAGTTATTAACGGAATAGGATACCCCACAGAGAGCATATAAAATATGCCAAATATTCCAAAGATGAAATGTACAAAACAACATTTTTGTCATAAGCAAAATAAATTTAGACAATGAAAGCAGGGGTATTGAATCTAGAAAGAGTCTCTAAGAATAAATGTGTTTTATTCTCAAGAGGAAATATATTCCTTAAATACAACCTCTTTTGTTGGCACTCATAGGTTTATTGCCATGGACAATTTGGAAAGCTCAGTGAAACCACAAAGGGGGTGAGAAAATAATGTCAATGGAGAGTATAGACACATATTTTTTAATTCTTACAATACAACACACTTTTTGAATAAAAAATACTATAAACAAAGCTCTATATAATATTTTTGGCTAGAAGGAATATGCAGAAGCCAGTGATTTTCAAGATAAGTAACTGAAGGAAGATAGGAGACATTCATCTTCCTAAAAGAAATTAAAAAGAGGGCATAGGTTTTTAAATGTCTTGAAACCAGTCTGAGCAGAGTCGAGGTCTGTAGACCATGCCCATTAAGCCATGGATGAGTGCCTTTTCCTCAGTCACTGTGGTTTTCCCAGCCAGATGGGAAGAGAGGGCTAAGAATGCATATGTGTACAACTCATCCCTATCTCAGGGATCTCAGGATCTATTTTAATTCTTCTTTTAAAATAACATGATTTTCTAAAATTAAAATTCATAAAGGCCAATAATAAGGAATATTCTAGAGAAATGTCAAACATCATGAAGGTTACATTTGCCAATTTTTTGCCCTGCTTAAAAAAAAAAAAAGAAAAGAAGAAGAAAGAAAAACTGGAAGAGAGTATATTACGTTTGACAAAGGATTTCAAAGACTGCTTCTTTGATTCAACTGTTTGGAAATGTTATGGAAAGGAATCCTGATAATAAAACAAAACATATCAAAGAATTAATTGTGAAATATCTGCCCTCTCACTGTCTCCACTTTCCCCTCCCCACCCCCTTTCACCACGACTAGGATCTTACAGAGTTGAAAATCAGAACAAAGCGGTGAGAGCAGACAAACAGAACATAAGACTTGACACGTCTGTGAAGAAGAATGACAGGTAAAGTGGTCGCCTGTGTTATTTGGGGGAAGGTTCATTATAGGATGGTAATTAAAATTATCCCTCACATTGGTAAGTGAGAAGAAGCAGAGCATACTATTTCTCTGAATTATTTCCTAGTCTCCTAAGACCGATCCCTCCCTCCAGTGCCCTCCTGACAATTTGTGCAATGTTCCCAGATTCTCTCCTCATCAATTTTCTTCTTGGTTTTTGAAAGAGAGAAACCCAAGTCATTTTCCAGACCTAGCTCTTTGTGCTTACTATCGCAGATTGCCTTAAAAGGTATGTGCCATGAGACCCTGTGTATTAAGGATGAGAGAGGCTCACCATGGAGCCTATGCGTCACATGAAGGATTTATAAAATAAAAGGCTATTTATAGATTACAATCTAAACTCTCATCACATTCTTTTCTTTCCCAGAGAATCCCACTTGGATTTCTCTCCATTTCCCTTTCCTTGCTAATTGAATCTTCCTTTTTTAATGTCTCTTTCCATTGTCTTGTCTTTGTTTTCTTTGAAGAGAAAGTTAGGCTTTTATTTTCATTTTATTTTTTTTCATCCTGTTTTCTCTTGAATAGATGGTTTGTTGTTTTGTATCTCACCGCTAAGTTCAGAAATTCTCCACATTATTTACTTAATGAACTAATTACAATTCTTCTGACTTTAATTTGGTCATTTACAATTTGTGTTTGGTTACCTTGAGTTCCTAGACTGACACAAATTGTGTCACTTCTACAGGCTACAAATGCCATTGAAAATAAAAATTTGGTGTCGTTCCAATCAGTCAGCTCTCCCTTCTCCTTTTTAATTATTTATTTTATTTTTAAGGCTCAAACTTCTGTCATTATGAAGAGGGTTGTTCATTATTCCAAAAACTGCTAAGAACAGGATTGCTACCCAAGCAGAAGAGAATCTGTTTTAAGTGGTGAGACATTTGGGTTGATTGTGGAAGAAAAAGGTGCCTCATGCCTTTCCTTCACTGGTAGAAATGCTTTATTTTAGAATTCTCAGACCTGGTCCTTATTCACATTATTCCCAAAATAGAATGCAGTGACATTTATAAAAGGAGGAATGACTTCTACTTTGTTTCCTTATAACTCAAATGTTTTAAAACTTAAACACTTCATTAAAAAAGATTAAAAGTATATACCTGTTAACACTAATATACTTAATTTAGTGGATTCGAGTTTGTAGAATGTTAAAACAATAAGATTAAGTATTGAAAGAGTCATTCTAAATATTTATTTAGCTCCACTACCTGTATCAATGTAATTGGTGTTTCTCTGAGATACAAAGAAAGCAGAATTAAATTCAACAAATATTTATTAAATTGCTAATATGTCCAAGACACTGTGCTAAGTATTGCATGGAATACAAATAGACAATATGCAAAGGAACTTACAGTCTGGTAAGCTAAGGTTAATGAATCCTTAAAATTACATGCAAAATTGTGTGTGTAGGTGGCATGTGTGTGTGTGTATTCATATGTGTTTTTCTGAAAAGAGGTGTATTATCTTCTAGATTCTCAAATAGTTCAATGGCCCCAAAACATTAAAACTCATGTGCAAATACAGAGTAAACTCAGAGCAGTAAAAGAAATTCAAACAAAGAACTCTTTTTGTCCCAGCTCCTTCAATTGCCTACGTGGTGCTTGGGACTGGGCTACGTACTGGGCTGGCCATTTACAAAGAATTTTACAAGGCAAAGGAACACAAACCTCAGGATTAGAAAGCAAGTTTAAAAGTTAATGCTAAGGAGTGGGATATTAAATGTTACAAGAGATAAGAGAATAGTCAGTAAATCCTGAAATAGGAGAAGCAGACTCCCCGAGGAAAGATAATTCTGAATGGAGCCTTGAAGGACGTGTAAGGCTTGAATGATTAGAACCAGAAGTCCATGCCTCTGCCTCTGTCTAGGTATCGAGAGACATGTAAACAAAGCTAGAGAGGAGGAAGTGAGCAAGAAATGGATGGGGATGGAAGCTCTTCTGGATGCTTCCCAAACCAAGGGGATTCTAGACCCAAACTATCTGCAACTCAACTGTTCTTCAACCCAGCTCCTGAAGTTGCCACACCTGTTACATGATTGCTGGCTAGACCAGAAAGAGAGATTATGTGTGTGTAAACTTGTATGCCTAAACACACACACGTACATTCATATTAGCTTCTCATACATATGTATGTGCTAATGTATATGTACGTTAGCATCTCTCACATAGCCCTTTTGATTATCTTTTGATCACTGCTCATTAACTAATGTATTCATTAAAAGCCTACCTTTTGCCAAGCTTTGAGTAAGAACTGAAGATGAAAAGTAGTTTCCATCATTCCATTTCCCTAGGAGAGCATTATAAAGACAGCAGCATGCAGAAAGGCAAGGAGGTGGGTAACCTGTGGCCCTCCCTGGAAATATAACAGCAAGTATTTCATTTGAATGGCTGTTGAAAGAGAGGTTCAACAAGGAATGAATTTGATGAAGTAAGACCACATGGAAAACAATGTGCATCGTGTTCAGACTTTGGTTTCGGATACCAGAGAAGCTATGAAAGGTTTTCAGCAGAGGAGTAATGCCAGTAGATGCAGATTTTAGAAAGTTGGTCTGGCAGTAATGCGAACAGTGGGGTAGATGAAGTAAAACTAAAGATCAGGATAAATATGCAGAGTGGTACAATAGACTAAGGGATAGAAGATGTCATACAGAGGTAAAACTAGGGTTGGTAATTTATCAGATGTGAGAAGTGAAGGAAACGGAGGAATCTAGGAAAATTAATTACCAGGTGTAAGGTGTGGGTGACTGAGTAGACAGTTGTTCTGCTAACCAAGGTAGAAAACACAAAAGGGGGAGAAAGTCAAATCATTATAAACTTGCTTGGGAGAGTTTAAATATGAGGAATCTGCAGAATTAAAGCTGTTGAATGGTCTGCTTTATAAAAAATGAAGCTTGGAAAGGATTCCTAGATCAAGGTCAGCAAATGAGGTCCAGCAGGCCCCATCTGGCCCGTTGCCTGTTTGTGTATGGCCTGTGAACTTAGAAGAGTTTTATCATATTTAAAAGATTGAAAAAAAAAAAAAAACAAAAGAAGACCAATATGTTGCATTCATTTCCTAGGGATGGTATAGTAAAATACCACCAACTGAGTGTCTTAAACCACAGAAATTTACTTTCTCACAGTTCTGGAGGCTGGAGGTTGACAGTGCTTTCTTCTGAGGCCTCTGCCCTGGGCTTGTTGGTAGCCATTTGTGCCCTTCGTATTCATAAGATTTTCCTTCTATAGTCATCGGTGTCCTACTTCCTCTTCTTATACAGGATGCCAGTTATATTGGATTAGGGTCCACCATAATGATCTCATTTTGATTTAATTATCTCATTAAAGACTGTTTCCAAATACTGTCACATTCTAAGGCACTTAAAGTTAGGACTGCAACATATGAATTTTGAGGGGACATGATTCAACCCATAACATACATCACCACATGAGAAAGTTTCACGAAATTCAGATTTCAGTGTCCATAAAAACACTTTTATTGGAACACAGCCATGCTCATTCTTTTCTGTATTGTCTGTGGTTGCTTTCACACCACAATAGCCAGAGTGAGTAGTTGTGACTGAGACAGTATGGCCTGTTAAGGCTAAACAATCTACACTCTGGCCCTTTACAGAAAAACTTTGCTGTCTTCTATTCTAGATAGAAGATGAGTTGGTAGTTACCAGTTTAGAGCTGGTAGTAGAAGTGATGAGATTATTAAGGAGGAGTGAGTTGTGTGAAAGAACAAAAGGGCAAGACTTGCACTGTTAAGACACAAACAGGCCAGAGAAGGAAGGGGAAAGATGCTACCAAGGTAATGGAGACAGAATGAGCAGGGCTGTCAGATGAAAACAAGATTGAGCTGTGTACACTGTATTTCACAAAAGAGGGCTCAATGACTGAAAACACTGACAAGAAAAACAGGGTTCTGATGTGGAATCTAGCATTTCACAGTGATTATAGATATAATATATTAAGCATTTTTAATATATATAATTAATATATTATATATTAATTATATATAATATAATATATTAATTATATATAATATATTATATTAATTATATATAATTATTATATATAATATATTATATTAATTATATATAATTATTATATATAATAATATATATATTAATATAATAATATAATATATTAATTATATATTATATAATATATAATATATTAATTATATATAATTAATATAATATATTAATTATATATAATATAATATAATATATATTAATTATATATTATATTATATAATATATAATATATTAATTATATATTATATTATATAATTATATATAAAAATATAAACACACATATACCCACACACACCACTGCTGTTTTGCTATTTACATGACTTGCAGAACTTTCCTCAAGAAAAAAAAAATCAGTGTCTATACTATAAGTATTTATATTCTGAAAACCCTTCTTGTGAAATTTTCTCTAGGATAATATTTTAGCCAGTGAGTAAAGTGAGATAAAAAGAACAATTTCAAATACATTCTAAAGCCAGTTATTGGGTACACATTTTAAGGAGTGAGATTTGCAAGTATTTCTGCCTATATATATCAAATTTACCAGAAAATACTAAATTTCTATTTCACTTTGTGCTGAGGAAATCACTGTACTTTGTAATTTATTCCTTTAATGTTACTCTCAAATTCTTAACTATTTCTTTTTAAAGCAAACCACTTTCACATAAAGAGTGGATTCTACTAAACTTCCATATTTTGTATTGTTTCATATTTTGTGCCTTGAGTTTTCTTCAAGAGACACGGCAATGAGAACTTTATCACTAATAAAAAGACATTTGAATAGAAAAGCGAGCCATAATCATGAACCAAGAGTTTCAAAATCATGTTTAGATCAAAACAGATGCACCCTTTGTATGCATTAATTATCAGTGAAGAAGACCTATATATGGTTATAGGCATTGCTTGCTATCAATAAAAAATTAATTCAAACATTTAAACTCAGAGTATAAGAGCATAAGCACATGGCAGAGCACTGAAGAGGGAACTGTCACTAAAATTTAATACAATAAAGACAAATACAGGATGAAAACACAGGATAATTGTTTCTTCAGTGCAATTTTATTACTATCAAAATTCCTTGGCCAGGCTCGGTGGCTCACGCCTGTAATCCCAGCCCTTTGGGAGGCTGAGGCGGGCGGATCACTTGAGGTCAGGAGTTCAAGACCAGCATGGCCAATACGGTGAAACCCCATCTCTACTAAAAATATAGAAATGAGCCTGGCGTAGTGGCACATGCTGTAATCCCAGCTACTTAGGAGGCTGAGGCAGGAGAATTGCTTGATCCCAGGAGGCAGACATTGCAGTGAGCCAAGATTGCGCCACTGCAATCCAGTCTGGGCAATAAAGTGAGACCCTAACTAAAAAAAAAAAAAGTTTATGTGACCTATCTTTACTCTTCTTTTGAAAATTATTTATTCCTCTATTATCATCATCATTATTGGTTATTATCTTTAAATCTGCATTTTTCCAATAGGTTTTCAACCCTGTCTACATTTCTTGGTACATTATTTACATATTTTCTAGCTACAGTTATTTATTTTCTAGCATTTTGCTTCTTAGCTAAGAAAAAAAATTTGCTGAAAAAATAGAAACTATTTTTGAGTACACGTCAATTGGAAGTAAGTGCTTACTTTAATGCACATTCTAATATTTATATTCGTCTGGACTTCTAATTACTTTATCATTTCAGGAGCAATGGAATAGAGTGGTCTGCACATGAGAAAAATATTTCCATTTGAAAGACCCAACACTCTATTTAGAAATGGTGCCTGCATATCAAAGTGCTGAAAATAGATTTCTTAATTAGGTGATTTTAATAAATAAATGCAAATGATAATGTGCTTGGTGCTCATAACTAACATAAGAGCATAATCGTAATTGCCAAGATAAATAGTTCTTCAGCCACATTCTTGTACTTAAAATACTGTCTCCTTCCTAGGAAAACACTTGATTTCAAAGGAAAAAGTCTGGATTTCTTGAATGCTTTTATATCCAGACAAATTTCCTATTGAATGTCATGAACTAACTCTACCTTGAAAAGCAGCTTTAGTATAAAATGTATTCTCAAAGAAGACTATTTCCTAGAAAATAAGATCATCATCACTTTGGTCCCAGACAGTTTTGCTAGATGGATACTACATTGACACAACTTCTAGTTGTGTTTTACTTTCAGGAAAAAATATTCCTGGCTGATAGAGGGATTGAAAAAGAAAAGAATGTGTTGTTAAAATATTCTTAAAGCTGTCCTGACTCATTCATTGTTTTTTTTTTAACCAAATTCCATGCTTTGTAATTCTTAAGAGTATGAGTATGGATGTTTAATTCAGCATACGCTGAAATTCTCAAAAGGCAAGCAAACATTTTATGAGAATGTGGCGACTGTTCATATGACCAAAGTTTATATGCTGGGTACTCAGCTCCCAAAGATAGAGTGGGCAAGGCTGAACTCTAATGGCACTGTGAGGCCTGCTAGTTGCTATCATTTTATATTCCTAAATCATTAGTAGAGGAGGGAATTTATGCCTAACTTTTCTTTAATTAAAGTGCAGATGGGAGAACAGCTGCACAGGCTTCAGCCTGTTTTCCAATTAATCAAGGGTTAAATTCAGGAATACTGGAGAATGAGTGAGTAGTTCTACTTTTTGGCTGTATCTTTATCAATTGCCAAAGTTTTACACAAGTAAAATTACCCATTTCCACATCTATCATTTGTTTCTTTATTTTTCTTTTTTTTTTGTATAAACCATAAATAATCTAGTATTTGACCCAATTTTGTAAGTTACATAGTTCTGGTTTATTTGTTTGTGTGCCTGTTCTCCAAATGTACTTAATCCCTCAACACTCTTCACACACATACTACACTTAGACTGCTGGATAGCCAAGCAGAAAAAATATTTCCAGTCTAAGAAGGTTGTTTCCTAAGTTAGGCAATATTTTAGCTTTCCTAAAGATGTTTTCTTTCATCACTTTTTGATGAAAATTCCATATGTCCCCATGGCTCGCATAATAGAAAATGTAATCATATACATCTGGGCAGGATGAAGAATGCCAAGGCTGACCCAGGAGCCAAATTGCCTTACCTTAATCTTCCTCACTTAGTTCAGGAAAAAATGTTAAAACTTAAAATAATAGGGTCTAGAAGCACTAAAATGGCTCTATTTCACAGAATTTGGAACAGTAATGTTAAAACATTTTAGAATGTTCATAACGCCACCAATTAAGCTGCTACAGTTTGGAAGGTTTTTGCTTCAATATAACAATTCCTCCCCCTGATTCCATTTTCATTTGAGCAGTTAAGAATAATACACATAGCACCTGTGTGAATTATGAGCCTCGCCATTTTTGTTTTTCCTTTCTTCATTTACAGCCTCCACCCTTTTTATCTTCTCCAGTCCACACTTTGGCCTATTCCCTAAGTCCTTCTTTGTTGCTGATTATCTTTTCAATTTAATATAATTACATATTAATTGGAGCTCCTAAAAGCCCATATGCATTGTCACAAAAATACTACTAATAAAGGACCTGAGAGGCTGTGAAAACAAGCTATTTCTCCTCCTAAGTAAACTTTGGTTATTATATTCATGTATTAAAATCCAGTTTCTGTCAATGTTGGTTATTGGATCACAGGAGAATGGCTAGATTCATTTGGAAGGTGTGTTTGGGACGTGACATACAAAATTTGTTTTGGTGTACCCTGACTGATGGTGGTGATAAAGGTTATCTAGAAAGGTAGGCAGTCATCCACAAGTGCCAGATTTGAGGCTGCTATAGAAAGGGAAAACAATAGTGTTTTCAAATATGAGCCCCAAAGGGCAGGGGTTCATTTGCAATTAGGCAGCTTCACTTGTAGACATTCCCATAGGTGAGCAGTAGCAAGGACTTCTGTTTAATGATAGTTTTTTATTCTTCTAAGCAGTTCTGGAATGTCTAGCTTGTACAGAACAATGCTGTATTATTTAAAAAATAGTATATATATATATATATATTTCCAAAATGGTATAAATCGATAGTTTTATATTATTTATATTTTGACCAAAATACCTCTGGAGAAGAACAAAGACAAATTTCAGGAGAAGAAACCAAGTTGTAAAGAGCTCAAGGGGATTCAACATACTGCTTTTTGTTTTGTCTTCTTTTGTTATCTATCAAGTGTCAAGTACTATACTGTTGTGTTATATTGTTTCTGCATTGCTATAAAAAAATACCTGAGACTGGGTAATCTATAAAGAAAAGAGGTTAAACTGGCTCACAGTTCTAGAGGCTGTAAAGGAAGTCTGGTGCCAGTATCTGCTCAGCTTATGGGGAGGCCTCAGGGAGCTTTTACTTATGATGGAAGGTGAAGTGGGAGTAGGGACATCACATGTCCCTTAAACAATCAGATCTCATGAGAACTCACTAGTATCATGAGGACAGAACCAAGCCGTGAGGGATCTGCTCCCATGACTCGAACACTTCTTATCAGGCCCCATCTCCAACACTGGGGATGACATTTCAGTATGAGATTTGGATAGAGACAAATATCCAAACTATATCAATAGTGTATAGTGATAGTGCACTATGCCGACACTGAGCAAAGCTGACTTGTCTTTCCTGGTTATACAGAAAAGCTTCACTAAGGTATCTGCCTCCATATATAAAACCCTACAATTTTAACTTTAAAGATGTTTTGCAGAGCAATCATTTATGCCACTAGAGGTTTGGGAAAATTTTGGCAAGACTAAACAAAATAAAAACTTTGACTATATAAACCTTCTAATTTGTTTGGACTAAAACCTTAATCAACAAATATTTACATTCTTAATTCACATAGAAACTATGTGAATTAACAAATATTTACCATCTTGTCTTTCTTCTTCCCATTTCTCATCCCCTCTCCCTTTCAATCTTCTCCAGCATTGTCCAGAATTCTTTTCCCTCATTTCCCTTGCCCTTGGTCTTGACCTCCCAAACTAAAGGAAAAAGCAGGACTATCTAGGGAGGAAATGGGAGTATGGGCGACCATGGCATTTGGGAGTAGAGAGGCTACCTGAATAGGTAGATTTAGAATAGAGCATGAAAAGCCCTTGGTGCCTTGGGGAGTATGAACTTATTCTGTAGGTGTTTTATTGAAGGACTATAAGCAGGACATTGACAAGATCAGATCTGTATTTCTGAAATATGATTACAACAGCATAGAGATGAACTAAAGAATAATTTAAATAATCCAGAAGAGAAGTAATGATCATCTGAAAGGGCTGTAACATAAAGATCTCATTATCACTTTTTGGCATAAGAGGCTGTATTAGTTTGCTAGGGTGGCAATAACAAATACCACAGAGTGACTTCAACAATAGAAACTTATTGTTTCAGAATCCTGGAAACTAGAGATCCTAAATCAAGGTGTTGGTAAGGTTGGTTTCTACTGAGGGCTGTCAGGGAAAGATGTGATCCAGGCCTCTCTCCTTGACTTGTAGTTCACCAGGTTTATGTTTACATCATATTTTCCCTGTATGTGTGTCTGTCTCAAAATTTCCCATTTTTAAAGGTACAAGTCTTTTTGGATAAGGGCCCAATCTACTGACCTCATTTTAACTTATCTCTGTAAAAACTCTACGTCAGCCTGGCACGGTGGCTCACACCTGTAATCCCAGCACTTTGGGAGGCCAAGTTGGGAGGATCACCTGAGTTCAAGACCAGCCTGGACAACATGGCAAAACCCTGTCTGTACAAAAAAATACAAAAATTTGCTGAGTGTGGTGGTGTGTGCCCATAATCCCAGCTATTCAGAAGGCTGAGGTAGAAGGACTGCTTGAGCCTGGGAAGTGTAGGTTGCAGTGAGCTGAGATTGCCCCACTGCATTCCAGCCTGGGTGACAGTGTGAGACCTTGTCTCAAAAAAGTGAAAAAAAAAAGACCCTATATCTAAATAAGATAATATTTTGAGGTACTGGGGCTTAAGAGTTCAACATATGAATTTAGCAGAGAGGGCACAATTCCACCCAGAAGAGTGGCCAATAGCTAAGGATTAAATAACTTGTTTGAAACACAGTTATCTGGATTATAACCTAGGTCTGTTGACTCACACTCCAGGAATATGTCTACTCTACTAGAGGGGATGCCAGAAAGCACTCTATTGCCATCCAGCATTGTGGCTTTAAAAAGGTAGCTTCTAAAGTGCTGCTACTGCCCATAGGAATCATTTATTAGCAAAGGGGTTGGCTAATGTCTTGAGAAATTTTTAAATTAGAGTACCTTTTTGAGAAACTAAATTGATTTTTGATAGAAATTAGAAAGCAGAGCTATTCCTCTAAGAGCAAACATCATAAGGTAATTCAGAGTACTATGCCCAAGCCCTCACTCACACAGCATTACTCTGTATTATCCAGGGGATACTTTCAAGCAAAACCAAGGAGCATAGTTTATAAAAAAAAAAGATTAGATAGGACAGTTTATTTCTACTGCTTAAAACATCATTTTCTCATGTGAAGTAAGACAAGAGGCACATATCTCTCTGCTTTCATAATAATGCTGTAATACCAATAACATAGTATCCAAAACAAACCAAGACATGGACTAAGTGGAGATAATACAGAGCCTAAACTTAGGAATATATCTCAAATTTACTTTGCCTCATGTCATGTCAGCTCACATGATACTTAACATAGGATTTACATGGGGGGTGATCAGATGCTATATACCATTAAGTAGATAGATACAATCACAAAAACCTCAAATATTTATTATATTAAATCATTGCATTATCCTATGGAAATTTATTTAGCTCTACCATAAAGACTTCACGACTTGAAGAGGTAGAACAGTTTTACTAGTTTGTCAGAATTGTTATGTCAAGGCAAGGCCACTTATTTTTTTTAGTGAAATAAAGTGTATAATAACATTTCTTAATAAGTATGAAGCTAGCTACACGGAAATGTTCCTCAGAGAACTTGGACGTAAATGAGTTTGTGACAGAGAAGTAAATTGTAAAAGCAAAAAGTAATGGATCAGAGAAGAGATGTTCAGTTAATGGAAAGAGACAGGGCAGTTCATAGACCATACATTTGGGTTTAACTCTAATCCAATTATACACACACATGCTTACACACATGCATGCACACACATCCCTTCAAAAGGACTGTGGCCGTCAGGAAGGCAACTGGTCAGCATGGACATAAAAAGAGAGTCATAGAGGTGCCTATTAGCAGCCCATTCAAACACTTCTTAGTGTGGATGAAGATGCAGCCTTCAGCTGTCAGCTGTTTCTAATCCATACAGCAAGGCTATCCCTTCAATGGAGGTGGATGGAGATGATGATAGCTGATGGACTTTACTAATTTCCACTCCCACTGGCAAGCCTCTTCGTGAGAAGGGTGTGTGACGCCACCTTTGAATGAGGCCATTGCATATTTAATTTATTTAACTCTTTCTGTTCTCAAATAGCATTTTCCTGATTGTGATTTAGTTTCCCAAGTAGCTTGATAATGGAGAGAGAATATGCTAATCAAGAAAATAAACTATTCAAGTCCATATGATTGCCCCAGTTCTAATTGCAAATTAATACACTGACATTTTGGTATCTGTCCCTCAAACTTTATACATAGCAGTTACGTATAAGGAATTTTCTTAAGGCTATTTTAAGGGTAACAAAGGCAATTGGCAACTGAATCTGGACTTTATCTCATTCTGTCCAGTGCCGGAAGGCCTTACCTTACGTGACACCATGATCAACTCTTTCTTTTTCCACTTATTTCTACATTGAATAGTAAGAAAATCCTCTTACCACCAGTATATTTCTGTGAAGTTTTTCTTTTCCTTTTCTTTTTATTTGGATGGGGCCTTGCTCTGTCACCCAGGCTGGAGTGCAGTGGTGTGATCATGGCTCACTACAACCTTGACTTCCTAACCTCAAATGATCCTTCTGCCTCAACCTCTCAAATATCTTGGACTGCAGGCACATGCCACCATGCCTGGCTGATTTTTTTAAAATTATTTATCGAGATGGAATCTCCCTTTTTTGCCTAGGCTAGTATTGAACTCCTGGGCTCAAGCTATCTTCCCACCTCAGCCTCCTGAGTAGCTGGGACTACAGGTGCGCACCACCATGCCCAGCTAATTTTTGTATTTTTAGTAGAGATGGGGTTTCACCATGTTGACCAGGATGGTCTCGATCTCTTGACTCGTGATCCGCCCACCTTGGCCTCCCAAAGTGCTGGGATTACAGGTGTGAGCCACTGCACCCAGCCTTTTCCTCTATTCCTAAGCAAGAGAAACATATCTAGTTGGCCTTAAGTCAACCATATGCATCATACAAGTCAAAAATTATTCTCTTTAAAACACACACACACACACACACACGCACACGTTGTTACTTTTACAAACTTAAAGATTTCATCCAATTAGCACTGATTCAGTTTCATTGTAGAATGAATATTATACCCTCTAAGAAATACAATTTGCATTCCATTATTAGTTTGTATTATTAAAATGCTTCAAATGAAAGTGTCTTTAAGTGTTAAGTAGTTTAGCTTCCTGAAGGCTTGCTATTTATCACTAATGCTTCATCAAGAAAGGACTTTTTTTATAACCTAGTTTTAGAATTCCATCAATAAGTAGAAAGCTTCACAATAGGTCCTTGAACCTCCATTCTCAATAATAAGTAACATTTATCTCTTTGTTTTATACACATTATATGGAATTAGAGTCCCCTGTAGAGACATTAGATTAGAAATTATAAAACCAATGTGGCATGCAGTCATTGTCCTGATATTTTCAAACCAACAACAAAGAATGGAAAAAGGGGCAGGGGCAGCTGGGCCCTGACCTACCATGTGGGACCATATTATGCAGCAAGGTATCTCTGTAAGAGTCACTAACTAGACTGCCTGTGTAAAGTTAGATAAGGGGTAAGCTTAGTGTTGAGAAAAATCTATAAATAATTATGCAGTTCACCAAGCAAGGTAACACTGCACCCTGTGGGGTCTGAAGCAGATGACTCAGTATGTGAAGAAAAATATTTGTATTTAACTGGAATTTAATTTAGTTTCACATCCTCGCTATAGGTTAATCTTCCCTAAAAGTAGGTCACTAAATTGGTAGTGTTTTGAAGTGTTAATTTCTTTTGCCATGTCTGCCATCCCTGTGGACAAACTTTTGTAGTTTATAATGTAAATCCACACTGATCCAGACTAATTTGAGGGGTTAATTCCATGGTGATCAATGAAATGGATAAAATGAAGACCACTGTTTAACTACTAACAAGAGGATTTTAAGTAAAGGTCCTTCAAAACCTAATTTAATGAGAAGGGATTCATTTGTAATTAGCTCCATCATTTAAAAATATGTGCTGATAACTATTGCTAAACAAACATTACCCAAAGTTAAATATACTTGCTCACTTCTCAATTTATTTCATCAAAATTTTGTTTTTTCTTTATATATATTGTCCAGGCAATCTCCAGATCAACTCAGATCCAATGTTCATCACTCATAACTCACAAATGGCTTTGTAGTACACAGTGGATGACAGGCATTTTATTGTATCTCATAAGCAGACATCATAATGCAGAATCAACCAGAGCTTCCTGAAGGCTTGAAAGGAACATCAATTTATGCATTCTTCAGAAGAGAAATCTTCACTGATATTTTTATTGTTACCTCATTAATTTCCCCTAGTTTTCCTAGCAGTGTCTAAGTATTCAGCCAGGTAACAATATAAGAAGTTCTGATGGTTAGTGGAGATGTTTCTAATCTCACTGGCAAATGTACTCTGAAACACTTGAGCTCGTAAATTAACTTGATAACTCATGCTTTAGAAGAGTCAGTAAATATCTCAGTTCGTTTTGGCAATCTAAGGAGGTTTTTTAATAAACTGGAAAAGGTTAAGAGATGCAGTTCAGGTTATTGGGACAATAATTGACAGGCACTAACCTTACCCAAGGAAAAGCTTTTCTTCCCTAGAATCTTAAGACAAGTACATGATTCATTCTGCATCATTAGCCTGTGAATCTATGGCACAAAACAAGCTTGGAGGGTAGACAGAAATAGTGTTTATTGAACAACTATTATGTAGCCAGCAACTGATAGGAACTTTACTCTGGTAGTCTTATTTTGTACTCACAAAGATCCTTCAAGATAGTAGTGTCAACTTACCAACTTCATTCAACAAAGGCACCAAAACTCAGAGAAAGAGAAATCTACTTGACTCTAGTGAGAAGAGATTTTGAAGCCACGCTCTTTACACGGTGCAGCCTCCAACTTAATGGGCATTAACCATTCATGGTTGGAATTCTTCAAAATCTGTTTTTAGGAGTTAACGTGCCCTTTGGTTAATGGACCAAAGAGGGAGAAAGATTGTTATACAGGATGTGTTGAGATGATAACTGACCCTTCATGTATCCTTCAAGGTAAGTTCTAGTAGGTTCTGTTTTGAATTACCGTCATTTGATGTATGATTATCATGGGCATCAAGGAAAAATTATACTATTTAAATAAAAATTTGAAGCTCAGGTTCTTTTGTATTATCTTCATCATGAACAGTATGGTTATAGGTGTGCCTATGCTATATATAGTGTGGGTGTGTGCCTGTGCGTGCATCAGTCTAGGGAAAACTCTAAAAAAAATTGTGTCTATATAATTAATAAACACACTTAAGACCAGTTAGGCAGAAGAGTTTCGTAACTGCAGATCTACCACTTAATTAGCTTGGATCCAACAGAAAGCCGAATCAGCAGTCATAGAATTAACACCACAGAGTTAACTTGCTCAATCCTGATCAAAGAATAGTCTAACTTACATATCAAGTAACTGAGTGTTTTAATTATATTTTTTAAAAGGTGTTTTATGTTACCAAATGCCTCTTCCTTTTTTAAAACATTGACATTTAGGTACAATTTAAATGTATGGTCTAACAAAATGCACCTCTGAATTGATAAGATTAGTCCATGGAGAAGTGCTGTGAACATCTACATTGCTCACAATCATATGTAACCCAGTGGTTGACTGCTTGGGTGTACCCAAGTCTCAGGCCTCCAGCACTCTGAAATACTCTTTTGCTGAGATCCTCAAATAAAAGTGGTTTTAGTCAGCTTACCAGAGAGGAAACTTTGGTGTTCCTATAAATATGGGAATTCTCTCTGAGCTTAAATGTTTCACCTTAAATTTCAGCTTTCCTGAGTTGTCCATTTCTGCTCCATGTCTCACTTCTTGCCATTCCTATATTATATTATATTATATTATATTATATTATATTATATTATATTATATGAAATATATATATCCATGCCATTCCTATTTTATATTTTATTATTCCATCAGTGAAATCTCTTACTTAATAAAATTCTGCCAGAAAAAGGTGGTAAAACTTATGTATAATTTACATATGACAATGGTATTGTGGTTTTAGTTTGTCCTTAAGTCCTTGTATTTTAAGGAGAGATACAAATATCTATGGATAAAATGGTATGATGTTGGCGTTCACTTCAAAATAGTAGAAAGCAGACAGGCAGCAGGAGATGAGGCGTCGCTTATAAAATAAAAATGACTATGGGTTAATTGTTTAAGTCTGATGCTAACTTAATTATATGAATCTCACATTTGTATATTATTGAAAATTCCAGGATAGAATGTTTTTGAGTGTCGAAACAATATATGTTAGAAATATAGTTTCCTGACTGTATAGTGTACATCAAAATATTTTTAAATTGCAATTAAAAAAAGGTGATGTCTGTACCAAACTCTGAAAGTCTGACAACAAAGACCAGGTTTATTTTTTTTGTGACTACATAATAAATGATATCTAGCTGAAGATGAGCTACCTTGTTCCTCCATGTCCCCTACCCTTCTCCCTCACAGAAATTCTCCCTAAGCCTCTCTTCTTGTCCTTCTATTCACTTACACTCTTCACTTATTCTTCCTTACTCTGTGTTTTCTCTGGGTTCTACCAACTCCTCTCTCAGCAGCCAACCTACAAAACTATTTTTAACATACAATAATTAAACTTCATTTCATTTTCTCTCTTGCTAATTGAGAGACAGCCTGAGAACCATCTTTCCCCACACAAAGTAACCTTGAAATTCCTTTTAAGGAGTTCATTTTTAGGAAATTTCTCCTCAAATGTAAATCAACCCTTACTGTGCTATATGCTCTTTGCTTTATTTATTAAATAGTTGTATATTCGCAAACATCTTAGTCTTTTCATATATTCCTCAATTTATACTATTCATATAGCAGAGAATCAATCTGTAAGGAATGAATAGTATTGTTTTTATTTAATTTTTTAAATGTATAGAATCATTTCATTCGCTAAAAAAAGTATATAAAAAGATGCACATTTAAATATATAAAAGAATATACAAGGTATATATCATCAAAGAAACTACTGTTTTTAATTATTCCTGAATTGAGGAATAATCACATAGCAAGATAATATATTATAAAGTCCTCATCTCTTAATGTTTAAATCAGAAAAAAATTACATTAAGTTGTTTTTTTGCCGTTTTATTCCCCCAATCTGCCTCCAAATCCTTGAGATCTCACAACTACACAAGTTTCAATCTACTAGAAAACTTTCTTTTTTTCTTTTTGTAGTTAACTTTTACTCTCTGTGGCAATGTTTTGTGCTGTGCAGAAATTTTCATAGCTGCCATATTAAAAGTCATTTCTTATCAATTCAACAAACAATTGTTGAGTTCTTCTATATATATAAAAAATAACATACTGATATACATATCATATATATGATATATATATAACATAACTGATATATATATATAACATAACTTATATATATATATATATATATATATATATATATATATATATATAAAACTTGTTGACAATACTGATGTATCATTTCTTTCCTCTGTATCCCTAAGGATCCCCTGGCAGAGCCCCATCTCTTTCTAAAGGTGCATGGCTATAAAATACAACTTCAGCTTCCCTGCAGCTTCTATAGATGAGATCAAGAAGATGCAGTTGATTCCTTCCATAATTACTTGGTGCATAAAACCTTTGACTTTTTTTGAATCCGCATATCTCAGAGAAGTACACCATTTACTTCTGGAGAGCTATTTACTTATTTTAGTCTTGGACAAGAGTTTTATACTGCTTCTAATAAAAGAGCAAAATGTGTTCATTAAAAGATCCCTAAACCCAAATGCATACTTATGCAATAAATTATTGCTTGGTTTAAATGCAGGAGCGTGACATCCTTGAAAAGGCTAAATGTAGACAGGACTGTCAGTTTTAGAAGCTACAAACAGCATCATAACTTTTGGAAAGGGTCAACAATGAATTTGCCTAAGTGATGTCATGTGTCCAATAAATACTGTCACTTGGTGAGTCTTGGAACACTTTTTTGCTGCAGTGTAAGGAAGTTTCTTTGTACCGTATGCACCTTAGTTGATTAGTTTTTAAATTCTCTACTGTAATTGATTGTTAAATGGGAAAATATGCCTAATCCCTTTTTCCTAGAAGCAAGTTCTTTTAAATAAATAGCACATCATTTAGCTGGTTGGTTTGGAAAAAGACACAGGAACTATTTATTTGAGCCTTCCCAAATACAATAGGAACATTGTTTCCCATGGTTTTGCATTCTTTTCTAGTGCCTCTTACTCTGAAATTTCTAACTTAATGCAAAAGCTCATGTCACATGTTTCAGTCCTGAGGGAAATTACTGTGACCTGTTTTTATTTTTTATTTTTATTTGTTACTTTCTTCAGGGAGTTAATTTTTCTCCACTTTCCCCTTCCCCAAATTGTTGTCTATTTCTTACCAGCCTCACTCCTCTAAATCCTCATTCTGGCAGGAGCATGCCAGCTGTCTACTGAGGACACATCTAATCTTGGCCCTGTCATTTGGCCTTTTTAAAATGGCCCCAGTTAAAAGTGTTGTGTAATAAAAATAAATAGGTTTGCCTCCCTAAGTGATATGACTCATCCTCATTAAAGCCACTGCTGCCTTAAAGGACACTGATTTTACCTTTCTCTTCAGAGGAGAAAAGCTTACACGTGTACTTCCCATTGGAGTTAAGGACAGAAGTTTCTTGTATTTTAGTTAATCTAGAATTACGGATCACATACTATATACGTGGATCATGAAAGTGTGACCAAAGTGCTTGTGCGGGGGGAGAAATATCCACTAACTATTTCATACTATCATATTTGTTTTTAATATCGACAGTCTAAAACCCACAAATCTTTCAAGTTTTTACATCTCAAGAATTCCTTCAGGTGTGCATTCTTGGTATTTACAATCCTGAACAGAATATATATTTTAGTTGTTTTTACTTCCCTGCAGTCAGGTTCTCCTCCTGCCCTACCTGCAGCCCCCTCACAGCTGCTACGTCTTCTTTGACAAAAAGTCCTAGGTGCTGGATACACTTCTGCATAGTTTTCTTTCTTTTTTTCTCACATGTCCAGATTTCTGTAAATAGCATAGGTTATACTTGAGTTTTTAAAAATTATAAATTATTAAGCATTAGTTTACAAATATTAAATGGCTACCTTTATTAATTTATTCAGCACCTTATCAGAAAAATTTATTTTGTAAAGGAGTGACATCTGTACGAGTAGGTAAAGGTCCGTAAGACATTTCCTCTTGTTCGTCTGTTCTAAGTATTCCTATGACGTGTTATACAGTTTATCCTAGTAAACTTTCAAATACATTATGCATATATTGTACACAGATAAGCAAAAAGCAATGCTGAGTATTGATTAAAGTTGATACTACTAAGACAAATATGGCACTTTTATTTGAAAAAGCAGGTTTTTGTTTGTTTGTTTGTTTCACTTACCATAAGCAAAATCAACTTCTTATTATGTTTTTTTTTTGTTTGTTTTTGTTTTCCCCTGTTACTTCAGTAAATGCTCCCACTTTAAAACCATGAGTTCCTTAGCCAATGTTACATGGGCAAATAATTTGTCTAAACAGCATGCAGTAATCCTAGATTGTCATCTGCCAGTTCTTCCATGGCAGGGCTAAAAAGGGGAGCAAAAGCTGACTGGCCATTTGCACCAGTGGTGAAGTTCACACTCTTAGAAGGCAAAATCATAGGGTTTTTATTATGAACACAAGGGAGTAAAGAAAGTAAATAAAGAAAATTCTAAATTATAGCTTTATACATTAAAGGCCACAGTTCTTTACTAGAAAGGTTCCTTGTGGATCCATGATTCTCTCTGTCCATTTATTTGGCTCTTAGAAGCACTGTTCTTTTAAAATTGAAAACCAAAACAAAATTCAAGGTGAGCTGTTACTACATTTTTGTATAATAATGAGTACCTCACCAGGAAGAGAATTGGTCAAGCTTTTCAGTAGAGTTCCTCAAACTGGGTTCGCAGGATCTCTGGATAATTTGGAAGGACACAGGGCACACATTTTCAGGGTAAAAATGTCCACAATAGTGTTTTAAATTTGTATTTTTTATTTTGATAATAATCTTTAAAAAATATTACCAGTTCTAAAAGTTCTGTTTTGCAGTATACAATTTAAATAAAAATGTATTCCATAGATTACAGGAGGTCTGTAAGAAGCTTATTCCCTCCTCCTCTTTAAAAAAGAGGTATATACATGAGTCAAGTTTGATACATGCTTTAGTCAAAGAAATAAACAAAATGGTCCTACTACCTCACAGAGCAGCAGAACAAAGACACATGGTAGGAACTCTCAAAGAAAAATTGCACCAAATACAGTCAAACGGGCAAGAAAGACTGTATGCAAAAATACTGCAGTAGAGGTCAGAGCTGCAAGAAAAGATACAAAGGTGAAACAAAGGCTGGAGACTTCTCTAATGTCCTCCAGTACTTTTTCACTAGCTCACCCCAGTGTTTAAAAAGTCTCCAGCCTTTGTTTCAGGTGAAACAAAGAAGTGAGCTAGTGAAAAAGTACTGGAGGACATTAGAGAAGAGGCTGCTCAGTGCAATCAGGCCATTCCTATTTGCTAATTGGCGATTGTCTAAGTTAGGCTCCTATCCTCCCAGAAAGACTGGGAGAAAAGGGTGCTATTTTTCTCGATAATTAATGTTTCAAAGAGATGGTTCCCAGGTCCTTGAGAAAGAGATTCCTGGGTTGTAAAACTGGCAAGAGCTGGGAGACTTACATCTCAAAGACGCAGAGAAAGTGTTTACAATTGCAAGGTCTTAAAAGTAAACACTCTAAGAAAAGGGAGCTCGGGGGCTGTATTAGTCCATTTTCACCCTTCTGTAAAGAACTACTTGAGACCGGGTAATTTATAAAGAAAAGAGGTTTAATTGACTCACAGTTCCACATGGCTGAGGAGGCCTCAGAAAACTTACAATCATGGCGGAAGGCTGAGGGGAAGCAAGGTATGTCTTACCTGCTGGCAGGAGAAAGAGAGAGATGGGGAAACTGCCACACATATTTAAACCATTAGCTGTCCTGAGAACTCACTCATTATCACAAGAACAGCATGGGGGATACTACCCGCAAGATCCAATCACCTCCCAACACGTCCCTCCTTCCACATGTGGGGATGACAATGGGTTTATAGCGAGGAAAAATCCTATCTAAAATTTTACTAATGCTGAGAAGAAGTTGTTTTGGTCATCAACTTGCAGAGGAGTAGAAGAGAGAAAATGGCCACATCTCAGGGGAAAAGAACAAGCTATGAATTAATGAAAGAGGGTAAATACCAAGAGAGTCTAGCTCTATTGCCCAGGCTGGAGTGCAGGGGCACAATCTTGGCTCACTGCAACCTCCGCCTCCTGGGTTCAAGAGATTCTTCTGCCTCAGCCCCTCAAGTAGCTGGGATTGCAGGCGCCCACCACAACACCCAGCTAATTTTTGTATTTTTAGGAGAGAAAGGGTTTCACCATGTTGGCCAGGCTGGTCTCAAACTCCTGACCTCGTGATCCACTCGCCTTGGCCTCCCAAAGTGCTGAGATTACAGGCATGAGCCACCGGCCTTGGCCTGATATATCTTTGCTAAGGCATTTAAAAGCATGTTTGAATGAGTGAAGGGATGTATTAATTTATTAATTAAAGATTCCCTAGAAGCAGATGATACTGTTTATGAGGATTTATTCAGAATGGTTCTTTGCCTTTCTCTTTCCTTTCAATGAACTATGAGTTAGATGAGACAATATTTGTGTTTTAGATGTTTTAAAATACCTAGCATTATATTTGTTATTCTCTTTAGTTCTTTAGTTCATTGAATTTCTGTAAATTTTGTTTTGAGATTGTCTCAAGTATGAATAATGACTGAGTTGGGAAATATATTTTTCTCACCAATATAACCCCATCAATATAACCCATGGATACACAATGCAACCCTTTGTTTTAAATAATTAGCTAGAAAATGTTTATGGAATAGCTACAAAATGTTTACAAACTGTTTCTCATGTTACAAAATGTTTCTCAGATCCCATGAAAAGTTCTGAGACTAATAAATGATTTAAATTCTGAACACTTAGCCCAGTACCTTGCACAGTAAATACTATATAATGCATTTTCTTATGGAAAATACTAATTGAGCCTACTCTAGTCCCACTGCATCCTAATATTGAGATGAATAAGGCATAGTTTCTATCTATTAGCAGTTGACGGGATAGTACAGTGTAAAGGCAAATAAATAGACATTGTCATTAATGCATCACGAAAGGGCACAGAGGAACACATATCTCCCTGATTGTAACACCTGCATAGACTGTAGTTTATTGTGGTATTATTCATTCATTCATTAATCAAAAATATATTTATCGAAATTCAGCTATATGTCATTCTCCTTGGTGCTAGGGATTTGGCAATGAACAAGACAGGCAAGATTTCCTAGAGTTTACATTATTGTGAGTGAAACAGAAAATCAACAACTAAATATGTAACATCCTGTTAGGAAATGGTAAGTGCAATGAAGAAATTAAAGCCTGGAAAAGAGAAAGAGAGCAGCAGCAAAGTCCTATTTTAGACGTGGTGGTTAGGGAAGGATTTTTAATGAGGCAAGTTTTTGGCAGGTATCAGAATGAAGTAAGGAAGGAAGTCATTCCAGTGTATAAAAAAACAGCACTCCAAGCTGGGCAGCAGCAAGTGCAAAGGTCCTGGGGCAAGAGCATAAATTTGGCTCCTGTCAAAATAGCAAGAAAGCCAGTGTGACTACAGCAGCGAGGGGCACAGGAAGACTGGGAGGAAATGAACAAGGAAAGTTAGCCAATGGACAGATTATATAAAAATCTTATTAAAACCATGGTAATGTCCCTCGGTTTTATTGTGGCATGATAGGATGCCAATAAGGAGTTTTGAGCAAGGATGCAATATGATATGTTTTTACTAAATTTAGATCTAGAATGAAGCTGGTGGGTTAGATAGGGAAAGGTATCTGGAGATAGAGGAACCTGAACTTTATCTGGAAAGACACATAATGATTAGGTGAATAGGTTCATCTGGGCTTCAGGGAGTAGGGAATAGGGTATAAAATTGTGGCAGGTAGACGAAGCCGTGTATGAAGAGTTCGGAGATAGGAATGATTACAGTGCCATGGCAGGATTGTTTTACCCAGAGGACAGTACTGGAGGTAGAATGCCAAGGGTCCATAAGCTTTCAAAGGCTGGCTGACCTAAAACAAACAAACAAAAAACCTAGTTTTTTTTTTTGTTCTAAAATATAAAAGGGAGAATTTTAAAATCAAATAAATGAGTAACTAATTATATTAAAATCTAGTTAAAAATGGAATGTAGGCTCCACAGAAGTAGAAATATTTTAGGTATTTTAGTACCTAAACTAGGGCCTTGCCTGTAGTAGCCACTTTTAAGTATTTAATGAATTAATGGATTTAATTCTATTAAAAGTGTTATTATGTCAACCAATCAACTACAATCTCATTCAAATATTATTTATAAATTATTAATGTGGTATATGAGTTTACTCTAATATATCTGATAAAATGTAGCTCTCCAAAAAGAATTGTGAGGGTATTTTAAAAGGGTCTGTGTCCTGGAAACCACCAAGTATTTGGAGGGTATGGTGTGAGTGGGTGAAATAGTAAGAAATGAATTTGAGGTGTCAGCAGAAGACAGGCTGTGGGCGGCTTTGTGATGCCCTAAAGAGAAGCATCAGCTTCGCCCTGGAGGAAATATGGAGCTATTATACAATATTAGGAATGGAAGTCAGAGTCACATATTAAAAGGGGCACTCTGGCCGGGCGCAGTGGCTCATGCCTGTAATCCCAGCACTTTGGGAGACTGAGGCTGGCAGATCACATGAGGTCAGGAGTTCAAGACAAGCCTGGCCAACATGGTGAGACCCCATCTCTACTAAAAATACAAAAATTAGCCGGGCATGGTGACATGCACCTGTAATCCCAGCAACTTGGGAGGCTGAGGCAGGAGAATCGCTTGAACCTGGAGGCAGAGGTTGCAGTGAGCCGAGATCATACCATTGCCCTCCAGCCTGGGCAACAAGAGTGAAACTCCATCTCAAACAAAGAAAAAAAAAAAAAAGAAACCACAGAAAAACAAAACAAAACAAAAAAACATGGTGGGGTACTCTGATTTTCACTTTGACGATAAATTTGATTGGGACAAGACTATAATAATTGACTGTAGACAAGATGGCAAGGCAGTTGTCATCATATGAGGGTAAAACAAAGATGAATTGATCTATGAGGTAATGCCCATAGGGATAATGAGAAAGGAGGTGAGTTAAGTCTCTTGAGGAGATAATATTAATAGGAATTGATAGCTAATTGGTTGAAGTAGAGAAAGGAAAGCATTTCAAATGACTCTCAGGTTTGTAGCTGTATCATTAGGTGGATAGTAGCGCCTTTTTCAAAAAGGAGAAGTAATAGAGAAAATGTTTATCAAATTAATTAATCGATTGATTAATAAAATGAAGTTTCTAGCCCTTTGCCAAGATTTAGCAGCAATTAGGCCTTGGATAAATGACTTAAATCTCACTTCCGGCATCTGTAAAACAAGGGCAATTATATCTATTCAGCCTGACACACAGGGCTGGTTTGAAAAACAAATGTGATAATGTATCTCCTAACTTTGAAAATATTTAACACTTTATATGTATCAAATATTACTTAAGTTATGAAGCATAATTTTAAAAATGAACCTTCTGGAACCTTCTGTAAATATTTTGAAAGGGTTATTACAAATGTTTTTAGGCAGTGTGCTTCTCTCCTTTCACATTTCATTCTCATGAAATTTTATGTTTGACGTTCTCTTACATTAAAAACTAGTTTTATTTAAACATATATATATATTCCCTAACAAGATATGACAAAGTTTTTCTTGTTTTTGAGCTTTATTAAAGTTACATTTAGCCTTATGCATTTTATCTATTCAGTATTATGCTTTCATTACAGTCACAGAAGCATTGTGTACAAAAGCAAAAACAAGTAAATAAATAAAAAATAAAACTAGGAACAATCCAAATGTCTGCTTACAGGAGAATGACACCTAAATTGTGATACCGATATATTCTTCCACAGAAATATTATATAGCAGGAAAAATTACAGCTGAATATAGCAGTAAAGAATGTCAGTTACCCACTTTGAAAAACTGCAAGAAGGTATGCAACAATAGCAAATTAATACTCTCTAAATTCTATGCAGGCCAACATGGTGAAACCCCATCTATACTAAAAATACAAAAATTAGGCAGGCGTAGTGGTGCATGCCTGTAGTCCCAGCTACTCAGGAGGCTGAGGCAGGAGAATCACTTGAACCCGGGAGGATGCAGTGAGCTGAGATCGCGACACTGCACTCCAGCCTGGGCAACTGAGACTCTGCCTAAAAAAAAAAAAAAAAAGGAACGCTTACTGAGGACAGTCTTTCTTACTAAAACAGAATACCACACTTGATGAGAGAGGGTCAAGGCAACTATAAACCAGAAAGTAGATTTTTTAGTGAGAAGGATTCTACTTGGTTTCCTTGGGAGTTCTTCCTTTTACTCAATGTTTGCTTACTTAGTAACTTGGTTACCACAGCCACTAGCTGCGAGGGACTCTGTTTTCCTTCTTAGAGAAGGGATGTCTAAATAAATACTCTATACTTAGCAGGGTTTAGAAACTAGCTGACCTGTTTATTTTGTTCCACTCCAGGATGAAGGCCAATTCCATTAAAATATCATAATAAAACATTACCCAACTCAAATCATGGGGGTTTTATTATTTCATTTCAATATGGGAGGGTGCTGCATTTTGTTGAAGTTTAAAAAAAAAAAAAAAACTACAAATTTTCTACATTCCCTAAATAAGATCCAGAGCTGCAGAACTTTCTTTCTTTATTTATTTTTTATGGTAAGACCTATAATTAGATCCTACTGTTGTAGTACTAATTAATCCTATGAAAGGAATTAAGTTTTTAAAAAGCATACGTGTCTATGGCTAAGAATTATTCTATTTCATTGAAATCTTTTCCTTTCTGTATCCTCAATGTTGAAGGAGTACAACATTGATTAATGCCAGCCCAAATCAACACAACTTCACTTCAACCAATATTCATTATAAAAAGGGAAAGTTTATTTCCTGGAAAGACAAAGGAGGAAGGCTTGTTATACTTCCATCTCAATATAAACAGTATGTTCCTCATTTAAGACATAACTTTCATTTCACTAATATCACAACAGTGCTTCATTTGTCATCTATGTATACATCTATACATATATAGCACATAATTATTGTATCACATAATTACAATTATTATGCTTCATTTAAATAAATATTTTATTTTGCTAGTAACCACTAATACTTCTATAACTTACACTTCATTAGGTACTATTCTAAGAGCTTTGCAGTTAAACTATGCAATCTGTCAAGTAGATACTCTCATTATGAACATTTTGCAAATGAGAAAACTGAGGCCCAGAGAGATTACGTAATGTGATAGAAGTCACACAGTTCATAAGTAGGAGAGCTGACATTCAAATCCACAGAACCTGGCTTGAGTGTCCATGCTCTCAAACCTTAATCTATATGGTCTGTACTAACTTGCTATATAAAATGAAGCTACTTAAAATATCAGCCTAGATAGTTAAACTAGCAGCTCAGCCCAAAGGAGCTATTAATATTTTAAGTTTGGTTAGTTACTTTGAAAATTACTACTCAAAATATTTTGCCTTTATTAGAGAGATATATTTGGTATTTGTCTTTTTCATTAGCACTGCTTATGAGACTGTGACCACTTCCAACATGAGGACCATTCCTAACTATTTCTGTTTTCTGGAACTTGGTGTCTTGCCTATCACACACTGAAAAAAAAAATTCCTGGAAAGATAAATGAAGGGATTGACTGATGGAACAAATTGGCAAATTAAAGGAAGTGTTGAGGTAAATGGATGTTTTAGATGAAAATTTTGTTCTCAATAAATAATATTTTTCTCTGAATTAATGACACAGTCAGCTTAATCTATTTTATTGAATTATAAAATTAATCATTAATTTAATTATCTTAGTCTATCATTTGTGCCCTTGTGTCATAAACTACCAGAGATTATTCCTGTGATTATTTTAAAAGGGTCCAAAAATTAAACTTGAAAATTTGAGTCCTTAGCATTTTGATAACAACATAATGTTGTCTAACATTGCTTTTCCAAACTTGTATTCAAAAATGAACATTTTCAGCAGGTATATACCATATTAAAATACTACAATATATTTTGAAATCTACTAAGTGGCTCCATTGAAAACCAGTTTGAAGGGTACAACATTTTCAAGTAAAGAAGTGTTTAAAACATTTGCTTAGAATTAGTGAAATAGAGCCAAATTTTAATCCTTACAATATTCTTAGAGAAAAGTATAAGTATTTGTAAGTTTCCTATGTTTATCATTGGTCTTGCCCCATTGGTGGGTCAAGAATTTGACTTCCCTCTCTCACATGTATTCCATACCATCACATATATGGAAAAACGTGAGACAGGTAAGTCAGATTCTTGACCCACCAATCTCCATATAAAAAAGCTGGGCCAGACCAGGCACAGTGGCTTATGCCTGTAATCCCAGCACTTTGGGAGGCGAAGGCAGGTGGAACACCTGAGGTCAGGAGTTCAAGATCAGCCTGGCCAACATGGTGAAACTGCATCTCTACTAAAAATTCAAACATTAGCTGGGTGTGGTGGTGCACACCTGTATTCCCAGTTACTTGGGAAGCTGAGCTGGGAGGATCACTTGAACCTCTGAGGTGGAGGTTGTAGTAAGCCAAGATAGCACTACTGCACTCCAGCCTGGGAGACAGAACAAGACTCTGTCTCAAAAAAAAAAAAAAAAGGCTGGGCCAGTTATCAACATGGCTCTGGCTCTGTTTTTTTTTTTTAATTAATATTTACTGGACACCCATGATACAAAGGCATGCACTAAGTGCTCTGTAATAGCACACTGCATGTATATGATGTGCTTCCAATATTCACAGGTATTGTCTTGTTTTGAGTTACAATACAGGTAACTTTGATGTCCTTCTCCCAGTATCAAGTGTGGAAAGTGAGGCCCAGCATGGGTTAATTTACTACACAAACTTACAGACGTGGTGGCAGAACTGGAGCTACAAAAGCACTAATAGTAATAATAAAAAGGAGAGAGGGAACAAGCCAGCATGATCCTCGTGGAAATAGCCCATCAAAAGGTTCTGCTTCATAAAAGTCTTCATTTTAAAGCAATGTTAAATGGCTTGGTTATACATGGAATGCACACAAAACTCGCTTTATCATCAAGGGTAAAGTTTCTTTTGATTAATATAGACTGACTTCCTAAAATAATACTGTTTTAAAATATGGTTGGTGTATTCTTATATCATGTTTTTCTCTCTTCTTGCTTAAACTTAATTGAAAAAACAAGCTTCACAAAATGCACCCTAGGAATAAATAGGGTATGTAATGAGCAACCATTATACATGATTTTTTCACTCATGTGGAACCCCTATAACCCACTAATGAGTTCACCACTTGTGACGTACTAAGGCCCTTTGTTTCAACTAGTTTAATCATATTTTATGGCTAACCATTATGTCTCTTCTATTCATGTGTATACTCTTTCATCGCTAGGTAAAGTGTTCATACTTTATGGTCCAATTTATTATTTGGCTGCATCTGAAAATCAAGCTTATATGAATATTTTGTTTGATATGCAAAATATACTAAAGTTTCTATTACTTTCATAAACATATAATAAGTTGTATAAAAAGGCAGAGTTTAGGAAAAGAAAATTGGGGAGTTCCCAAGCTTTCTCATACTAAGTATGCAAAAATTCATTTCGCTCAATATTACTGATAATAATGGCTATATTTATGGAGTACCTTCTCTGTGCCTTACTCTTTCTGTATACATTTATATATTTATTGTTTCACCTAACTAAGTCTTCAAAACGGTCGTATACAATAGTTATCTCCACTTCACAGCTGAAGAAACTGAGGTTCAGCAAGCGTAACTTTTCCATGTCACACAATGGCAAACTTGAGCATGTATTTCATCCTGAACACACTGCCTACTACATCATAGCTGTTCCCTATCCTCATTCCTTCCATTCTATCAGACCAATAGGCTGAAGCTCTTAATTCTTATTCCATCATCTTTCCAGTTCATTTATTCAGTTATTTACTTAAAATACATTTATTGAATACCTACCACAGGACAGTCATGGTTTTAGAAACTGAGGACATAAAGTTAACAAGACCAATTCCTTGCTCTCAAGCATTTATAGTGTCAGGACGAAGTCAGGCAACAAGACATAAACAAACAAGATAATTTCAGAAAGTGATAAGTGCTGGAAAGACTGACAGAGTGAAGTGATAGAGAATATGGGAATGGGGGCTGGTGAAGTGGGGAGTGTCTATTTTAAATGAGGAGACCTTTTTGAGGAGATGACATCTGAGCTGGACTCTGAATGATATAAAGAAGACACCAGGTGATCTGGGGCTGGGTGTTCCCATCAGAGGGAACATCAAGTGCAAAAGCCTAAGGCAAAAACAAATTTAGTATGTTCACAGAATAGCCAGAATGCCATTGTGGATGGAATTTACTGAGCTGACATGAAGGTGGTAGGAGGCGAGATGGGGTTCAGGAAATAAGCAAATATAGAGCCTTATTAGCCCTAGTAAAGTTTGGTTTTATTTTAAGTGCAGGGGAAGCTACTGGAGTATGTGGGAGTCCCCCATTCTTACCACCATAGGTAATTCTGCCTCTAATTACAGCCAGTTTAACTAGCTCATATTTAACAGATTTCCTGCTTCTCATACCTCTACCCACTGTCTGTTATCCTATTGTGATGGAGGAAATTCTCAATCACCCAATTGGAATCTCTTCTCTTTCCCTTGGATTTTCCTGACAAACGTCACCTCCATGTACTGATGCCAGAGTCACATTAGCTTGATATGCTGCCCTAAGCCTGCCCTACCACTCACGAAAATTATCTTTACCTTCTCAGCTCTGATGCTGATCATCTCAGCTAGACGTTAAGGGAAACCTCAAGGGGGTAAAGGTGGATGCCACTTGCTTTAAAGTGTAGCAAACTGACACCACTTAATAGACCCTATAAGAAATATTCAAATTTTGAAAGAGAATTCATGTTAATCCAAATGATTTTTCATTCTGTAGGTATCATAACTGTAAGAAAGTGACTTGAATTATAATCAGGTGACTTGAGATCATCACAAGATCCCAACCCAGGTTTCTCCAGGGTTAGCCCTTTTAATTCATTCTGCTTTTCAAAGTTTTTTGACTTTCTTACTTTCTAAAGGTTTATTTAAAAGTTCCCAAAATCTATTCTATATACTTGTATGTATATAGAATTTATATATCATGTATGTATACACAATTTATCTATTGTGTATAAATATATATATAAAAGTTTATACTCTATATATACAAGGGTGTATATATATATACTTATATGTATATATTTATACACAATAGCTGTACAAACCATTTCTAGAGAGAATGTGTTCTAATATATGATTACAAGCTTCACTATTATTATATTTTGAATCCAAAGGTCATTAATAAAAAAGATTCCAAGTGATTTCAATGGTGTTGAAAAGTAGTTGCAATCATGCGTTTAGTATTTTGTCCATAATTCAGTCAGATGAAAAAGCCAGAAAAAGCAATTATATATATAATTATATATATGTGTGTGTGTGTGTATATATATATATATATATGTG
The DNA here is from genome assembly GCF_000001405.40 of Homo sapiens. NCBI lineage: Eukaryota > Metazoa > Chordata > Mammalia > Primates > Hominidae > Homo > Homo sapiens. The sequence continues at coordinate 113,836,843 of NC_000007.14, forward strand.
TGTGTGTGTGTATATATATGTACGTATGTATGTGTGTGTGTGTATATATATATATATATATACATATATATATAGTGGTCTCATAATTTCTTTAGTATTTTATATAAAAATTATCCTTTAAAAATTTTCATACAAGCATGACTTCAGAAATTCTACTTCTCTTACACCTAATATTAGGAAGCAACTTCAGTGACATTTGAGAATAAATCAAAGACAGACATAGGACCCAGGAGAAATGGAATTAGCCCAGGTACTATGGTCTGAATGCTTCTGTCCCCCTAAAATTCATATGTTGAAAACCTAATCACCAATGCAGTAGTATTAGAATGTGGGAACTTTGGGAGTTGATATAGTTTGGATATTTGTCCATGCCCAAATCTCATACAGAATTGTAATCTCCAGTGCTGGAGGTGGGGCCTTGTGGGAGGTGTTTGGGTCATGGGGGTGGGTCCCTCATGGCTTGGTGCTGTCTTCACAATAATGGGTGAGTTCTCACAAAATCTGGTTGTTAAGAAGTGTGTGACACCTTCCCCTCCACTCTCTTTCTTGCTCCTGCTTTCGCCATGTGAGATGCCTTCTCCCATTTTGTCCTCCACCATGACTAAAAGCTCCCTGAGCCTCCCCTGAAGCTGAGAAGATGCTAGCACTGTGCTTGTACAGCCTGCAGAACTGTAAGCCAACTAAATCTTTTTTCATTATAAATTACCCAGTCTCAATTATTTCTTTATAGCAATGCAACAACAGCCTAACACAGAAGTGACTAGACGATGAGGGTAGAGACCAAATAAATGGGATTAGTACTCTTATAAAAGAGGACCCGAGGAAGCTCCCCCAGCCCCCTGCTTCCACCATGTGAAGTTACAGTGAGAAGACATTGTCTATGAAGAAAGCAAGCCCTCAACAGATATGTAATCTACCTACACCTTGATCTTGGACTTCTCGGGCTCTAGAACTATAGGAAATACATCTATGTTGTTTCTAAGTCACCCAGTTTGTTGTGTTTTGTTATAGCTGCCCAAGGGGACTAAGACACATCTGGTGTCTTTTATTATAAGGGGCTCCCCTCATGAACTCTTCCAAACATAATTAATGCCTAAAGGCCCCACCTCCAAATACCATCACATTGGTGGTTAGGGGTCCAACTTATGAATTTGGGGGCAAGCACAATTCAGTCTATAGCACTTGCAGATTCAAGTTAGGTGACAGGGATAGTATAGACCTGACTTCTGGTTGAGAAGAGGAGTATCACAATTATATTGTAAAAAGATCATAAAGGATGGGCAATCTTGTAACCATCTTGAAAAATACAATGCACCACTTTATGTGTGGATGTATATACACAGGTACATACACACACACATACGTGGGTGCACATATTCTGTAACTACATTCAGTAAGAGAGCCTAAGGGTAGCAATCACGCCTAACTCTAATAGAAGAGAGCACATATAGTGTTCATATGTTGGCCTCTGAATACCACTCTTCTTTATAAGGAACCAGGGCTCCTTGGGGAAATTGCTGATGCAAGAGGTAGGGCAGGAAAAGCGCAAGATGAAGATGTATCTAGAACCTTCTGTGACAGAAAGCAAAGAATGATGTGGGCTGCCAAAAGAACACAGATTTCAGCTTGAAGGAGTTCCACTGGCCAACTCTGCAACCATTTTAAACATCAAAATAAATAATGATAGTAACTAGTAACTGATTATAACCCATTGAATTAAGTAAGAGAATAAAAAGGTTTAGTGAAGAATAGGTTATGTACATAGTTTCAAATTATCTCCCCATGCAAATGCTACTTATTTACAAGAACAGAAAAGGAATTTCACAATGAAGAAGCCTGGGCATACATCATCTTAATCAAGTGATCACAGTGAACATAGTCATTAATGGGACAAATTAAAATTCAACAGTACTTGATAGGATGCAATGAGAAAAAAAGCAAGATCTCTTTTGTGATACTCCTGCAAAAGTTAAATAACTTTTATCAAATTGTGAGGAAGCATCAGACACCCAGAATGAGGAATAGTTACAAAACAACTGCCCTGTCATTTTCAATAGTTTTGACATGGTTTGGCGTGTCCCCACCCAAATCTCATCTCGAATTGTAGGTCCTATAATTCCCACATGTTGTAGGAGGAACGCAGTGAGAGATAATTGAATCATGGGGGCGGTTTCGCCCATACTGTTCTTGTGGTAGTGTCTCACAAGATCTGACGGTTTTATAATGAGAACTCTTTTTCTTGGTTCTCACTCCCTCTTGTCCGCTGCCATGTAAGACATGCCTTTCACCTTCTGCCATGATTGTAAGGCCTCCCTAGCCATGTGGAACTGCGAGTCCATTAAACCTCTTTTTCTTTATAAATTACCCATTCTCAAGTATGTCTTTATCAGCAGTGTGAAAACAGACTAATACAAGTGTCAAATTCATTAATGTCAAAGAAAGACTGAAGAACTGCTCCAGACTAAAGAGGACTAAAAAGATATGACAATTAAATGCAACGTGTGATTCTGAACTGGATATGTTTGCTGTAAAGAACATTATTAGGACAACTAGTAAACTTGAACAGAGTCAGAAAATTACATGGTAGAAATGCATCAGTGCTGATTTTCTCACTTTGATGATTGCATTGTGTTGACATAGGAGAATATCCTTGTTTATAGGAGACACAGTAAAGAATTCAGTGTGACGGGGCATCAAGGCGGCAACTTACTCTGAAGTGGTTCAGAAAAGCATTTTGTTGTTGTTTTCTGTACTTGTAGTTTTTTAAAAGTGAAAGATTGTATCAAATTATATTTATAAAAACTACACATGGTTTAGTGTCACATCAAAATTTCCAGACATAATAACCACATGTCTTCTACCTTTTGGTTTTTTATCTCACCTTACATCTTGTATGTAACACTTCCCTGGCAATGACCACCACCTGCTTCAGTTGCAGAGCTGGCCAATCCATCACTCATCATTTTCCAGGAATATTTTCATCTCTTCTCTCTCTTAGAAAATTTTGTCATATTCTTTATGACCCCTTGAGATGTCCACTCTCCTGTGAAACCTTTTCAATTCTCCTGAACACATTTACTTAGTCCCCTATTCCCATCACTTTTGTATATTACCCTAATACAGTACATGTAGTGAAGGAAAGGCCTGTGATGTATGATGTATTTGTCTTTCCATTCCCATGATCTCTAGAATATAAGGGCATTCCAACACATTGTGCTGAATAAGTAAACACTAAACTAATAAAGTGTCAAAATTGTTTGTTAATATTTTATTCACTAGCAGTTCTAATATTTAATCATTGATATCATACAAACTTGTGGACATAAAATCTTTTTGAGAGGTTTTAGTTGTTCTATTATATATGCATTACATTATGAGTCCCTTCAGATTATTTTTTGAGTACAATGAGGAGGGAAGAGGAAAAGAAGGAGGGAGGGAGAGAGGGATGGAAGGAAGGAAGAAGGGAGGGAAGGCAAGGCAGGAAGTCAGGAAGTCGAGAAGTTAGGAAGGAAGGAAAGAAGGAAGGGAAGGAGGAAGGGAAAAAATGAGAAAGCATACATAGTGTTAAATTTAGTGTAGTCCAGTCGCAAAATAAGTGAATTGTGTCCATTTCATTAGAAGGGGGAAGTAATTTTGAATTCAAAAACTTCAGTGAATTGGTAGGACTTAGCATCATCTCTAACATCTGGTCTGCAAGGCTGCCTGGCCAAAGTAGACAAAACATCCACTTTAGGGTAGTCAAAACTAGATATGACCCCCAACTCTGCCACTTTTCTGATATCTGATCTTGGACAAGTTAGTTAATCTCTGTGATTCTCAGATTCCTCATCTACTAAATGGAAATAATACCATTAAATCTATCAGTTTATTGTGGAGATTAGAGGAAATTTTTAAAATAAAGACCATAGCATTATTCTTGGAATATTTTAAGTCCCTAGAAGGTGGAAGCTATTAATTTTATCTCTAAAATTTTGATACTCTATACTGTCCAATTGAAAGGCTGTCACTTTGTTGTATTTTACTAATAAATTAATACACTAAAATAAATATTATAATTATGAGGCAGCAAAATCTTACTTCTGAATAATCCAGTGGTTTCTTCTTTATCTATAAAAATGTTATGTTTATGATTACAGGTTCTATTTTCAATTTGGTTATTTTCCAAATCAGATGAATTTTCAAGTTAGTTGTGTATGAGGAAAGCGAATTGGACATTTTGCACATATAAAGCTTCTTTGGTTTGACAAGTTGAGAGGTATATTGTGCTTAGTTCTCAGGATCATTTTCTTCCTTTCCAGACAAAAGGTTTTCTGCTGCTAATCTGTCAGTCTTAAATCTCATGGGATATGCTCTCTTCAACCCTCCTCTCTCTTGTTTTTTGAGTAAATAATTATCTGATGTTTTCCTTCTAACGCATACATTGCTCTAAATCAAAGCTCTCTGAAAGAAAAATTTACATGGAAATGAATGACCTAGTAAGTATTAACGGTATTTTGAAATAATAAACAGCAGCTATAATGGCTTTTAGCCAAGTCAAACTAAAAAAATAAAATAAAGTAGAGGTTACCAAGTTCAGACTGATGTTATTTTTCACATCACTTTTCTTAGAGTTAGAAAATCCGTGAGGAATAACAATAAAGTCCCCCAAACGTGAGGCAACAAAGGAATTAGAAAAGTAAGACCAAGATATCACACTTTTAACTTTAAGGTCAAGGAGAGTAAGAAACCTAAGCATATAGATCCGTTCAAAGTCTCTATTTGTGTGGGCTCCTTTAACTTCTAATACTGTGTGTGAATTTCTATGGTGTTCATATTCACATCCTTCACATGAATCACTGAAGGAGTTTTTGTATAGCATCTCCTTCTGTATTCACTCTAAACAAGTCAGCAATCACTATTCGCTCTTAAGAATTTGAAGAACTTTCTTTTTACGCACTTTGAAAAGCGTTGTATAAAATTGGAAATTTCCAGAGTGTTGTTTATGTTCAAGGACAGAGTTAAACAATGAGGAGACACCAGGCTTGGATGAGTCTTCAAAAACAAAGGCAACCTATAATCCTTTATGACAAAAAGACATTATTTGGAAAATGCTGTGCATGGATGAATCACAGAATACAGAATTACCAATGTAATTATCACTGATAAGTCCCCCTCCTCATGCTCTGTGCCCATATTGCTGGGGCTTTAACAGTGCTCAAGAGCTATATTTTGCATTGTAGATTTCAGAGAGCCCCTAACAAGTCACCCATATTTTGGAAGCAGTGAGCAGGAGGATTAATGAGTTGCTTAGGCCCCCTCTTTTGAATGAGTATTTATTGATTCTGACAGAGGCATAGGGAAGTGAATGATAGAGGGAAGAGTTGCATACCTCATCTGGCTCTCTGCCTTAATTTGTTTGTGAAAATGGATTAAGACTGATGGCAAATAAGACTGTGCAGGGAAGACAGGACACAGAAAACTATAATGGTCACAGAAGGAGAGAGCATTGACTAAAAAAAATATAGTTTTTAGCTGGGTGCTATTTTTATAATCTAGGATTTTAGGCACACATAAGCTATTTTAATGTCATGCATATGAATATATTCACAAAGTTATATGCAATTTACAGCCTTTAAAACAAGGTTTTCCTAACTTACAGCACTGTAAGCTCAATTTCATGTACCTGGGTCTGAAAAAAAATCAGATTGTGTTCTTTTGGTCTCATACATCATCACTAATAAAAGATTTCTGGTGCTGGACCACAGATGGCACCTTTGTTAAAGATGCATGAAGTCAATGGAATAGACCTGATTTCTCTACAACTGTGTAGGCTCTGGAGGTCTGATGGTAATAAGCATTTGTTTGTCACTTACATGATGCATAAATCATTCAGAAGAGAAGATACAATTAAGGGGGGGGTGTTCGTTTGCTTTTTTGTTTTGTTTTTGCTCAGGTGTGCTGTTGACCAGACCAAAATTAAGGCTAAGAATGAAGTGTTATTGGTATCATCTCATTCTACATGGCTTTTATCCTCTTTTGTTTTGATAGGGTAAGCAGCTGTAGGTTGAAGACTACGGTCACCTAGATCTCCATGTGGCTATATTCTTCTATTAGTTTCCTAGGCCGTCATAACAAAGAACCACAAACCAAGTGTCTAAAAACAACAGAAATTTATTGTCTCACAGTTTTGGAGGCTAGAAGTCTTAAAGCAAGGTGTTGGCAGGGCCATCCTTCCTCCAAAGTCTGGAGGTAAGAACCTTTCCTTTCCCCTTCTACCTGTTGATATTTCTCAGAAATCACTGGCATTTCTCGCCTTGTAGACACATCATTTCAATCTCTGCCTCTATTGTCACATGGCTATCTTTTACCACGGTGTCTCACTTGCTGTGTTCTTTTCTTCTTACAAAAATGTCAATTATATTGTATTAAGGCCCATTCTACTCCAGTATGGCCTCATCGTAATTACATCTGCAAAGACCCTACATCCAATAAATTCACGTTCTGGGATGCTAGGGGTTAGGACTTCATCACATCTTTTTCTGAAGGACACAATTCAACTCATGACAGTTCTCAATTGATTTTCCTAAACCTATTGTGTTTTGGAGGATATATTTACATGTAAGAGGGTGAGAAGTACATGCCAGCAAGGAGAAAAATTGCAAGAGTACTTAAAGTTATGTTTGAATTTCACTAACTGTCTTACCTTCTCAATCTAATTTTAGCATTCCTTTGTTAGAATTTTAAAGCTGTAGAATGTTTGAAGAGCAGAGCTTCCTCGTTTGTGATGTGTTTGACATAATTTCTTAAAAAATTACCTGGAACTAGTTATTCTGGTTTACCAACTAACTGCTAATGAATTAGCATACCTTCCTCAAACCCCTAAGTCTATCTTTAATACAGATTAGTTTCAGATAGGCTTGCATCTCAGGCTATAAACCAAATTCCTACTATGTGTCAGGCCCCAGGCAATAAGCTTTTTATCCAACTCTCTGCAAAATCCTATTCCGTTAGTTATTACTCTATCAATTTTACATATAAGTGAACAAACTAATTATAGTTATGTGAGGCCAACAACTTCTTATAAAGTGTTAAATGCAGCAAACCTACCTTTTGAATTTTCTCTTAAGCCAAAAAACTGGCTCAACTAATTTTCCCTCCCTGACTTGACTGGTTCTTTTGGTATGACATATGTATTGACTCATTACAGTTTTACATCCAGGCTGTGCTTATTATAGAGGGGAAAATTTGCCCTTAATTTACCTTCTGGAACATTTGTTTGTCTACTACTCTTTTTGAAGGTGTATATAGAAAATTTTCTGCCTATTTTCAATTAAAAGGGATACAATTTTATTTTACTTTAATGTAGAGAACAAACTCAGATTGAAGCCATTATAATATGGCAATGTATATCTTTACCTGATATAAACAATATTTAATTCAATTCAATTGACACAAACCTCTTATTTTAGCATTATTATGATCACGGTATTTTTAAGACAATAATCTCACACCTGCTCCATTTACCAAAACCTGAGGAAATAATTGACATTGTTCTAATATCAAAACTTAGCTTTTATCTAATGTAATATTCTCCTTTTAAAAATCTCCTTATTCTACTCTTTTCTGTTTATGACCTGTCACTACACAGAAGAGAAGGCACTGTTTGTTTCTACCTGAAGCCCATTACACATTAAATGAGATTCAGACACCCTTTCATAGTTCACGAGATGCTGCCTGATATGAACTCAGTTCATTTGTGCTGATGCCAGCCACATTCCACAGCACCACATTAGCCTCCTCGCAGTAGTTACTACAAGAACAGATTCTTTTCCTCCTCAGAACCTCCATGTATGCTGTTCCCTTAGCTCCTCCACGGCTAGCTCCTTCCAATCATTCATAAGCATGTTTGGAATGTGTGTTCATGGATGCTGTGATAAACTGGATGTCCATGTCTCTTCCAAATTCTTATATTGACGTCCTAATACTCAATGTCATGATATTTGGAGTTGAGGGTATTAGGAGGTAATTGGGTTTAGATGAGATCATGGGGGTGGAGTTTCCTCTTATAAGAAGAGACCAGAGAGCTTGCACATGTTTTGTTTGTTTGTTTGTTTTGTTTTGTTTTTTTTTCTCTCTCTCTGCCATGTAAAGACACAGCACAAAGATAGCCTCTGCAAACCAGGAAGAGGGTCCACACCCAGAACTTCACCATGCTGGCACCATGATCGTGGATTTTCAGCCTCCCAAACTGTGAGAAATAAATGCTTGTTTAAGCCGCCCAATCTATGTATTTGTTATAGCAGCCCAAGTTAATTAAGACAGTTACCTTCTCTGCTTACTCTTTTTAAGTCTATTTCCCCATGTAATTTTCCAACCCCCTGCCTTATTTATTTCCTTAAAGGCACTTAACATCCTTAATTATTTATTTATTTCCTGGTTATTACCAGTTTTCCCTCTAGACTGTAAGGTCTGTGAATGTGCGGAATATATTTTTTTCTTGACCATAATACACTATCTATACTACCTATTTCATTGCCTGTTATCTATTAGGTATGCATTAAATAATTGTGGAAAAATATAAATAGGCATTTAATACTTGGATTCACTCTGAAGTCTTGGTACATTTTTTAATTGATACATAATGATTGTGCCTATTTCTGGGTATATGTTATATTTTGATACATGCATATAACGTGTAATGATCAAATCATTTCAAATATTATTTTATCATGATACACTTACTATTATATTAAAGAAATCAAAGAAATACCAAGATTTTAGATGTTCTGCTTTTGTCTTATTTTATGTTGCAGTTTTCATGACATTGAGACTTTAGGAGTTTTATAGTTAATTGTCAGCTCTTTTAAAGACAATATTTAACAACACTTCTCCATCATTATATTGTAAGAGTAATGGAAACATCCACACAGACATTCTGTTTGTGTCTCATATTTTACATGGATTAATTGGGAATATAAAAGACAAAGCTAAACTTAATAGTAAATTTCAAAGCATAAACTTTAAAAAGATAACTCTCTTTTCTGAAAAAAGGTAAGATATCAAGAAGAAATGTGTCGCTATAAAAATTGATTATATCTCTCATAAGTTGCCACAAAATTTTAATGTTGATATAAGTACTACAAATAATGATTCAATTACATATGAAAGGGTTGAATTTGTGGCTACTGTCTTTATTACCATCAGTTAGTGTATCAAACTGCATTTGTTTAAATCATTAATGTGATAAATTGTTCTTTTTTAAAAAAAATCTTCATGCTAATTGTTGGATATTCTTAAAAGCTATTCATGACCCAGCCCAAAATGATACACTAAGTAAGCACTTCATACATATTAAATAAATAAGTGGTCATTAAATATATGTCCTTCCATTGGGAACTGGGATATACTTATCCATTCGGTGACCTTTCCGAAATATTACCTTCACCCCATAGAATAATGCCCAGGAGAAGGGGCTTTAGGGCATCTCCAAGCTTTGACCCTTATATTGCCACTTACTCATGTCCTTCCATAATATGTGGATAATAATGCTTATCTTATTGGGAGTTCCTGAGACTGCCCATTAAGTGCTTTGTACATCAGTTAGCTGGTTGTTGAAATTAATCGTCAGGCAGGCAGACAAACCAGATGGCCGTTTGTGATCTCCTCTAACTCCTTAATCAAATAACTCCAAACAGCTTTTTAAGAGCCTATCTGGACAGCATTCCCTAGAAACTATAGTTGATATGCAAAATGTAAATGTGTTCAGTAATAGCTAGTAAAATCCCAAAACATATGGTTGACTTATTCTGCAAATTACAAAATCTCCAATGGTAATTAGTAAATAATAATAACAAATCTCATTGGGAGTTACTGATAGATGCTAATGCTTTGGTGTTGCATTCTGATATGCAATAGTATCTTTTGTCCAATTACAGTGTACTTTTTCTTTAATTTTAGCGGGGTCACTAGTGTCAAGATCTCCCTTTCTGTTTAGGTTTTGATGGGTAATTACCTGCTGGCAGGTAATGTATTATAGGAATAAGGTAATATATTCTTACGATTTACTATTCAGTAAGGAATTCATTAACATAAAGATTATGACCTAGAATATACCCTTGGGAAAATTTCATGTTGATGTGCTTTTATTTGGAAGGTGAGTCACTATGTTTGCTAGTAGAAAATAGTTGACAGAAACTTCATTTTTAACTTCTTATTGGATGTAACTGTGGAGTTCAGTCAAATGACAATAAGCCCAGAAAAAAAGCGAATAATTTATTCAACAATTTTAAACAGATATGTTCTTGTGTGTCATAAGAAGCATGATTGTCATAAGAAAAATGGATAATGTAAACCTAGTTAATGAAACTAACTTTACATATTTTAGTAGATACATTAGTATATTCTACATAGTAGCCTTCATTCCATTCAGGTCATTAATATAAGGCTACAAGAGACCCTTTCTATGAATTATTTAGGTAAGAGGGTGACAATAAACCTCAGTATTTTACAATCTAATGCAAATTAAATGTTTGTAACCATATAACATTTTATAAATGATATTTATCTACGTATCAAATGTTGATTTTAAATATGTTTTCTAATAGGTGAAAATAATCCAATTAGACTTATTGTTGACTCTGAATCTTCTCTTTGAACAAATGTTATGATACAAAGGTTAAAAACAAATTGAACTAAATCCAATCCACTTCCTTTGCTAGGACAAAAAAACTAGTATTAGGCAGGAAGACACTTTACATGTAGAAAGTCTCTGTGCAACTCTTGACTCAGGAGAATGTTTCATCCACAGGCAATTACACCTCATCTGTGTTGGTCAGAGAACATTAAGGGAAATTCATCGCTGCTGTGTTTGTTTTTTATGGGGAAGGAAAATAAATGTGACTAAAAGAAGAAAGGACATTTGGTAATTTTCCACTAAAGCTTAGATTGGCAATACAATCACCTCGGAGAGTTTATTTTTAAGAATTGATTTGTTTTTTCCTTAAAAGCCTGAATTGACAATGAGACCATCCTAAATCCGTAAGATAATTGTGTAACTCTGTGATTGTTAGGACTGGACCCATTATGTTTTTGCAAAATTAAAAGAGAATTTTCAGAGTTAATTTTTTAATTCCTTGGAAATTTCTTCACAACCTTTCTCTATTTCACAATGAAAGGCAAACACTACCTTGAAGTTTAAATGCAAGTGAATTAATTCTTAAAAAAATAAAAGTATTTGTACTAGAACTGCAAATGTTTGACAGAAATTAGAGAGTGGCTCTTAAAGAAACTCTCAGCAGAAGAGTCATAATTAGTTTTAAAATTTACTTCTAGTATCTTCTCAGACCAACAGGACTTTATTTGCTGTAGCATCTTAAAGTATCTAAGGGACATTCAGGCTTGAAATATCAAAGGAGACATGTTCTACTATAGTCCAAAGAGGAGTAGGAAAATATGTTGTGAAAGGCACAATGAAATTTCCCAAATATAAGCTATTAGCTTGAGATCAGCTTTCCTTATTTGGAAAATATAATACATTATGAATTTTCATAATAAAAAAATTTGTATAACTGTCTCTTACTCTATGGACTTGAATATTTATTTTGGGGAAAAACATATCTTATTCCACTCTTTTTAATGGTGTGTGTTCTGGTTTGGGAAGTAAGATATGAAAATATACAAAATAAAAATTAATATCTTTTTTTAGTTTACTAAGCAGTGATGGTAAAACACAAATTATGATCCTAATTTTACACATCAAAATTGTTCTAAAAGCTGGGCCTGGCAAATTCTTCAGCTCACTGGAAAAGAATCATAATCAAAGCATAGAGTTTTATCTTGTCAAGAATCAAATAAGAATTATTTGTGTCTATATTATATACTAATCTCTGTACGATATAAAACCATGAAATACAGTTTTCTCTTAATTATAGTTTGAGAAGAAAAACAAGATGAAAATAAGAATTTACTAAGAGATAGAAGATATTCATATCTGTGAATCACCATCATGAGCAAAACATAATTGTGAAAATATTTAAGCCTGAAGTCAAGCACAGAGAGTTTATGACCTCTATGAGCTGATGATCATATACTTATCAATTCAGCTCTCTTTTTTGAGATAAGGAAACACAGGAACATAATAGTAATTGATTTGTCCAGTGACATAAAACAAATGAATGATCTAGTATACTGTTAGAATTATTACAGTGGAACTAAAAACGAATCAAGCCCGATTTGGTTTACATGCTTATAATATCCCTTGCCCTCTCTTCCTCCACTCTATTCCCTGTTACCAAAATGATCTTCACAAAACGCCTTTGATCTGTCACTCACTTGTTTAAAGACCTCTTCAAGGCTCCACGAGATCTGAACTTAAAGTTGCTTTTCTGCCTTTTATTCTCACTACCCTGCCTGTCCCCTCTGCAGATAAAAAACAAGCAAAGCTATTCTCCAACATATGCTGAATATTTTTAACACAAAATGCCTTAGCGCACACTGTCCTTTCGCCCCATAATGCCCTTCTCCTTACCTCTTCAAATACAAACTTATGTATTCTATGTTCTGCTCAAAGAACAACTGGGGTCTTTCTTGATTTCTTCTCTTCCTATTGGAGATAATCTCTGCCATGCTTAGCCCATTACACCTCTGGGGTGCACAGAGTCCTCCCTCAGTATCCAAGGGGGACTGGGTCAAGGAGCCACTAGTAACAAGATGTGTAGATGCTCAGGACCCTTATATAAAAGGCATATTATTTGCATATAACCTGTGCACATCCTCCTTTATACTTTAAATCATCTCTAAATTATTTATAAGCTAATACAATGTGCATGCTATGTAAATACTTGTTATACTCTATCACTTGGGGAATAATGACAAGAAAACAGTCTGTACATGTTTAGAACAGGTGCAGTCATCTATTTTTTTTCTGAATATTTTCTATCGTGGTTGGTTGAGTCCTCAGATGTGAAATCCGAGGATACAGAGGGTTGACTGTATCTCTTTCTCCCACAAGACTGAAAGTTCACTGAGGACTGGGGCCTTCTCTTATCATATTTGTATCATCTGTAGTACATTGAATGACTTATGCATAGACACAGAGAAGTAACTTATTAATAACAATTGACATAATTAAAATAGTTCACATTTATTAGACATTTACCCTGACTCAGGCACTAATCCAAGTACTGTAGACGAAGTTAGGATTTGAAACCAGGCTGTTGGCTCCAGGGTTCTTGTTTTTAGCAGTGTGGGCTCTGGAGTCTGCTGTCTTGGACTGAATCCTGATTCTACTACTTAATAGCTGAGTGATCTCTCTGTGCCTCAGGGCTTCATCTATAAAATGAAAATATTAATGGTACCTAACTCATAGGTATTTTAATAGATGAATTAAAATAATACATTTTAAATACTTTGAGTAGTGCCTAGCACATAGCAGTGCAGAATAGCTCTATTTATTTAGTTTGTTCTAAGTATTTTTTGAGTTAATTAATTCAACCCTCCTGGGAAAAACACTTCTTACTTTCCCACCTCCTGTCAAAATTCTATTCTAACTTTAAGGACCTGCCTATAGCCAGCTTTTCTGTGAAATCATTCCCAATGCCAACAAGTTTATTCCTTCACAACGTTGTACATTTCTAACCTCCTAACCTTACACAGCAGCTAACTATATGTTAGCTATAGGAAACAGTTATCTTCAGCTAAATTTAGCTATAATGTGAGAAATAGTTAATGAATTATGAACTTTGTATCACAATAATGAAAAATGATCATCTAACTTTCTGTGTTTTGGATCCAGTCTTTCTTCTTACTTGCCTAAATACGTAAAAATGATTCTTAAAGTAGGCAGAATGCTTTGAATGACCTGAATAGGACTACACAAAATAAAAACTCTATACTTGATCACACCTACACCAGAATTCTAATTTATAAATTGGAAGGAAAAAAAATCTCTCAGGGTGCCCAGGTAGTGTTAACATATCAAAGATGGAGTGTTTACTCAATATGCTAGTAAAATCCCAATTTAATTCAATCTTTTCCCATACAGGAATTGTTTTCATATCTGAGGAATCATACTCAATTTTCTAGGTTGTATTAAAGCATGATTTTTAAGAGGTAATCCATAAAGATGTATTTTCCTATAATGAAAAGTAAATATATACCAGGCATTTTCCCTGAATAAAATGAAAGGGATTTTACAACAATTGTGGGGACTTGATAGCTTGTTAGGTCAGCCATCCTCCATGATGAGGCTCAGGAGTGACACAAATAACCAGACGAGAGATTCCAATGAGGTATTTTGACATTGCTGTATTTCAGGCATGCTTTTTGAAACTAAAGCATGAGTAGTTAAAATCAATCATTGGCTAATTGGATTTTAACACTAAAGTAATTTTTCATCCTCTTTCTGTAGTGGGAATAATCAAGATAATATTAGATATCATTTCATATTTTAGTGATTTTATTATTTAGTAGGAAAGAACACTAATCTGCTTTGACTCAGGCCCAAGACTTTGTGAGATACTTTAAAAAAATGTCTAAGACCATTTCAAGGTAACAGTAAAATACTTATGTGGCAAAGTTTAGGAAGAAAAGCAGAGAGGGTAGGATATTAAATGAAAATAGAAAAGGAGCAGCCTAGAAATCCCAAAACTGAGTTCTTTCTCAGGTTTCTCAGTGGAACTGCATACCCTTTTACAAGTCACCATCAGTTTTTCTGCTGCAGTATGAGGTATAGAAAAAAAAATAATACCAACTACTTCAAATACATGTACCTGCATTTCACGACAAAGGAGGTTTTATTTCACCAGTCATTCAAATATATACCACTCAAGCCCTGGGGACCCTTGGATTACAATGAAACAAGTATTTTATCAAATGTCCAGGAACTTTTAATAATGAATCACTTCCTTCTCTTTCAAACATAATAATTTTCTAACATGAGTTCTATGTATTTTGAATTTCATAGAAGGATATGAGGTAGTATAATTTATGGGTACATCATAAATATTTGAAAAATTAATTCCACATAGCATCTCTGATCTAAATTCTAAATTCTTATTAATTTTAAGATATTCTTAGTGTCCATCTAGAGAACAAGAGGTAACATACTAAACCAATATCACTTGTTTTTGTTAAAATTGGCATTGATCAATTAGGCCTTCTAATCAAAGCCTTTTTTTCTAGTCAACTGGACTATGAGACAACCCTAAATATATAAGGTTGAAATGGAGACAGCTAGTACACATAATATCTTCCCTCTCCTTCTAGCATCCACTTTAGCTGATGTGGCAGGGCTAAATTGTTCTCCCTCACTCACCCCCAACCCCTGACATTTCCTAGTATATAATGCATACAATATTGGGATAACTAAAAGCAACATTTAATAAAGTGACTGAAGGCATGTTCACAATTTGAAGCCAAGGATTTGAGTGGGGCTTCCTTCTCAAGAAAAAATACTAATAATAACACTGACTAAAATCTGGAATGCAACTTTAACAGACTCTAAGCCTAGGAAGAATGCAGACATAGCCTTCCTCTTAAGAGCAGCACAAAAACGACAAACTGAATTTGTAATTGACAGACTATGCAATGGTTCTATTATCCCCATGGCACAGAAACCCCCAAGCATCATGATATGCTCTGATTCTGCATGTGAGGATCAAGAAGTCAAGTGAAGACTACCTCAAAAGCAGGTTGAAAAAGAGAAATAAACCCAAAGAAAGAGGCAGTGGACTTATAAACAAAATTCTAAAACACATGATAAACTCAAATACCAAAGTACAGATAACCAAATCAAGAACTGGAACATGGATTCACTCCACATCAAATTATTTTTATGAAACAATCCAATGAAGACTTTAAATATCGATATTTGAGATACTAAAATTGATAAATGAAAGAAAAATTTTATTTTTTCAATTGCAAGGAATTCTTTTTAAAGAAGAAAATGATGGCTATGTACGAAAAGAACAAATCAAATAAAAATCATGGTCATTAAAATTTAAAAATATCCACATTAAACAGAATAAAATAGAGGACTGGTGAATTGAAAAGATTATATAAGAAATTTATTAAGAATGCAGTACAAAGAACAAGGAAATAGAAAAACATAAAACATTATTTTAGAGGTCTGGAAGAGAAATTAAAATAGCACAACATATACCTGATAGGAATTCCAGAAGAGAAAGAATGATGGAAAATTAATATCTAAAAATTATAGCTGAGAATTCTCTAGAATTTAGGGGTAAAATCAATTCTTAAATATACACTTCAGCTTTCAAGAAGATGTCAATAAGTAAACACTTTGTGTAATTTATTTTTCTCTGGAAACTTTTCTAGATTTTCTCCATGTTTCAGAGTTCTGAAATTATATGATGATGTGTTTTTTTGTGTGTGCATCCATTTTCATCTTTAATTGGGACTGTCAGTGGGCCTTTCAAATCTAGAAACTCACGTTCTTCAGTCCCAGAATATCTTCTACTATTTATGTGATATATTATCACATCCATTATATTTGTTTGTGTCTTTGTTAAACTACTTGAATGTTAGATCTTCTGACTTGATGCTGATGCTCTAATTTCTCTTGTTTTTTCTTTAGTTTATTTTCCATGTCTTTTTCATTTCATTTTCATTTCTGGGAAATTTCCTCAATTTTCTTTTTTGGCACTTTCCAATTTTTTATTCCCACAATTATTTAATTGTTTTGTTCATTGGCTAGTCTTTTTAATTGTGTGTATGTGTGTCTGTGTGTGTTTCTGCAATATTTTCTTCTATCTCTTTTGAGGATATCAGTTATAGTTGTTATGATTTTCTTTCTGCTCCCAAGTTTTTTTTTATTTGAATTTATTGGTCCACTTCTTTCTTTTGGTTTCTGTTTTTATGTTAAATATTTTCTTCCAATGGCCGTAGTGGCTTTCTAATAATATTTAGGAGTGAACGAGAACTAAAAAGCTAATTGGAGGTTATGTGTGCTTGGCTATCTTAGGGAGAGGCAGGGAGATGTGTTGACTGATGGATCTCATAATAGGATAATGAAACAGCTATTTCAATGATAGGTCTTCAAATGATGCACCTCCAAATTTTGCTGTCCCTGAAGGCTATTTTTACCCTTCTATTTATAGGTTAATCAGTTTACTCAGAAAATAAACTTCTGGTCCTGCCAGGGTTAAGGAAATACAGTTGACTGGTTATGTAGGAAGGGCAAAGAGATCCAGGGGTCTAAATGCATTGTATACAATCTTCCAAATATTCCTTACGTTTTCAAGCTCTAACTGCATTACCAGGTTTAGAGGCATTTCCCAACATTTCTGGTGTTGTGTGGCACAACTGGATTGATTCTGAGCTTCTGCATATGCTAGAATAAATTTCAGCCTTATTTGGTATTTTAAGTAAATTATCCTCATCAGTATGTGTTACAGCTTTCAAAAATTCCTTGTTATAACATCTTTCCTCAGTTTTTATATTATTTTATAGCTCTTCATATTATTTTGTCCTTTTAATCTCATTTTTATAAAGTTTTAAGAAGCAGAAAAATTAACAATTATTCTGACTCTACCATGTTTATCTAAAGGGAAAAATCTTAAAAGCTTCCCAAGAGGAAGCATAAATTATCTACTCAGGTGCCAGAAGATGATGGAATATCTTCAAAATGCTAAGAAAAAAAATATCCACATCAAATGCCACACTCACAAAAGAATCATCACCTGAGAAGGCATTTTTAGGTTTACAAAGACTAAGAAATACTCATAAACAGACCCTCAGTAAAAGAATGGTAATTGGATGCACTTCCACAGGAAAAAGAGGAAACCCACACAAATGGCATGAGTTACAAGAAACAGGAGTTAACACCAAGCTGGATAAGGTATCTGTACATTTAATGATTGATTTTAAATATAAAAAGTGTATTTGTGTCATATTGGTTTAAAACCGTCAAAAAACAATACCAATATGGTGCAATCAAGATGCTTCATTTTTGTTATTTTTTTGACAGAACAGAAAACATAAATGACTTTGTTAAAGAAAAATCATTAAGCATAAATTTTAAAAATTAAGACTGACTACTAACAGAATTGAAAGAAAATATACAGGTTGAGAATATCCTTTGTTGCAAACATTTGGAAACAGAATTCTTTCAGACTTTGGATTTTTTTTGGATTTTGAGATATTTGCATTATACTTACCAGTTCAACATCTCTAATCCAAAAATCTGAAATCTGAAATGCCCCAGTGAGCACTTCCTTTGAGCATCATGTCAGCACTTTAAAAGTTTCAGATTTTGGAGTATTTCACATTTTGGAATTTTTGATTAGTGATACTCAGCCTGTGTCACTTCTAAAGCAGCAGAGAAAATAAAGTAATTTTTTTAAGTTTTTACTCCCTAAAGCACTAATAAATACAGAAAAATAATGTACAAAGATGACTAACAGAAAAGTCAAAATAATATAATAAAAATAAGTTCAAACATAGTAGCTAATCAAAATAGTGTAAATTGTTCAAACTTGTCTACTTAAAGATTACAGACTGGATTTTTATTATTATAGTTATAAATTCTTGGCAAGAGCCATGATAAAATGATGGTGAAAGCTATGATATGTGAATAGTAACTATAAGAAAACTAATGCAGCAATATTAATATCAGATGGCATAGAATTTAAGGCAAAACATTAATAAGCATATTATGTACAATAATAAAAGGGAAAAATTGCTAAGTAATGCTAATAACCATGAGCTTGTTTGCAACTATGAACTAAGAGGCTTAAAATATACAAAGTAAAACTGGCACAACTGCAAAGAGAAATGGATACCTCAATAATATTAGTAAGAGACTAAATGACCAAAGTGAACTATATATTATTATATATTATAAATTACTTGCAATATTGTTTAGAACAACAAACTTAAAAAGCTTTAGCTAATAAATATGTTTAGAACTGTGTGTCCAAAAGAAAATAGGTAAACATGGAATAATAATCAAACTAACAATGCAGTAGGTCACAAAGGCAGTATTATCACATTACAAATAATTGCTTATAAGCAATAGTCTATGGTAATATCCTAATCTAAATGGACATCAATAGTAAAATGAATTTAAAAAATGAATATCCTGTTAAAAAACATATCTTATATTACAATAGGAATCAGGAAATACTCTGTGGCTGGCAAGATGGCCAAATAGGAACAGCTCTAGTCTGCAGCTCCCAGTGAGATCAACACAGATAGTGGGTGATTTCTGCATTTCTAACTCAGGTACCCAGCTCATCTCATTGGGACTGGTTAGATAGGCAGTGGATGCAGCCCACAGAGGGCAAGCCAAAGCACAGTGGGGCATTGCCTCACCCAGAAAGTGCAAGGGGTTGGGGAACTCCCTTCCCTAGCTAAGGGAAGCCCTGAGGGACTGTGTGTGAGTAACAGTGCACTCCGGCCCAGATACTATGCTTTTCCCATGGTCTTCACAACCCACAGACAAGGAGATTCCCTACATTGCCTATGACATCACGGCCCTGGGTTTCAAGCACAAAACTGGGCAGCTGTTTGGGCAGACACTGAACTAGCTGCAGGAGTTTTTCATATCCCAGTGGCACCTGGAATACCAGCAGGACAGAACCGTTCACTCCCCTGTAAAGGGGGCTGAAGCCAGGGAGCCAAGTTGTGTAGCTCAGCGGATCCCACCCCTACGGAGTCCAGCAAGCTAGGATCCACTGGCTTGACATTCTCACTGCCAGCACAACAGTCTGAAGTCAACCTGGGATGCTCAAACTTGGTGGGGAGAGGGGCATCCACCATTACTGAGGCTTGAGTAGGCAGTTTTCCCCTTACAGTGTAAACAAAGCCTCCAGGACATTCAAACTGGGCAGAGCCCACCTCAGCTCTGCAAAGCCACTGTAGTCAGACTACCTCTCTAGAGTCCTCTTCTCTGGGGATGGCATTTCTGAAAGAAAGGCAGCAGCCCCAGTCAGAGGCTTATAGATAAAACTCCCATCTCCCTGGGACAGAGCAGCTGGGGGAAGGGGTGGCTGTGGGCACAGCTTCAGCAGAGTTAAGTGTTCCTTCCTGCCAGCTCTGAAGAGAGCAGCAGATCTCCCAGCACAGCGCTCAAGCTCTGCTAAGGGACAGACTGCCTCCTCAAGTGGGTCCTTGACTGCCGTGCCTCCTGACTGAGTGACACCTCCCAGCAGGAGTTGATAGACACCTCATACAGGAGAGCTCCCACTGCATCTGGCGGGTACCCCTCTAGGATGAAGCTTCCAGAGGAAGGAACAGGCAGCAATCTTTGCTGTTCTGCAGTCTCCGCTGGTGATACCCAGGCAAACAGGGTCTCTAGTGGACCTCCAGCAAACTCCAGAAGAACTGCAGCAGAGAGGCCTGTTAGAAGGAAAACTAACAAACGGAAAGGAATAGTATCAACATCAACAAAAAGGATGTCCACACCAAAACCCCATCCAAAGCTCATCAACATCAAAGACCAAAGGTAGATAAATCCATGTAAATAAGGAAAAACCTGCACAAAAAGGTTGAAAATTCCAAAAACCAGAATTCCTCTTCTCTTCCAAAGGATCACAACTCCTCACCAGCAAGGGAACAAAACTGGATGGAGAATGAGTTTGACGAATTGACAGAAGTAGGCTTCAGAAGGTGGGTATAAGCAAACTCCTCTGAGCTAAAGAAGCATGTTCTAACTGAATGCAAGGAAGCTAAGAACCTTGATAAAAGGTTATAGGAACTGCTAACTAGAATAAAGTTTAGAGAAGAACATAAATGACCTGATGGAGCTGAAAAACACAGCATGAGAACTTCGTCAGGCATACACAAGTATCAATAGCCAAATTGATCAAGGGGAAGAAAGGATATCAGAGATTGAAGATCAAGTTAATAAAATAAATCACGAAGACAAGATTAGAGAAAAAAGAATGAAAAGGAACAAACAAAGCCTCCAAGAAATATGGGACTATGTGAAAAGACCAAACCTACATTTGATTGGTGTACCTGAAAGGGATGGGGAAAATGGAACCAAGTTGGAAAACACACTTCAGGTTATTATCCATGAGAACTTCCCCAACCTAGAAAAACAGGCCAACATTCAAATTCAGGAAATGCAGAGAACACTATAAAGATACTCCTCGAGAATAGGAACCCCAAGACACATAATCATCAGATTCAACAAGGTTGAAATGAAAGAAAAAATGTTAAGGGCAGCCAGAGAGAAAGGTCAGGGTACCAACAAAGGGAATCCCATCAGACTAACAGCAGATCTCTCTGCAGAAACCCTACAAGCCAGAAGATAGTGGGGGCCAATATTCAACATTCTTAAAGAAAAGAATTTTCAACCCGGAATTTCATATCCAGCCAAAGTAAGCTTCATAAGCAAAGGAGAAAGAAAATCCTTTACAGACAAGCAAATGCTGAGAGATTTTGTCACCACGAGGCCTGCCTTACAAGAGCTCCTGAAGAAAGCACTAAACATGGAAAGGAGAAACAAGTAGCAGCCACTGCAGTAAGATACCAAATTGTAAAGACCATCGACACAATGAAGAAACTGCATTAACTAACTGGAAAAATAACCAGCTAGCATCATAATGACAGGAAAAAATTCACAAATAACAATATTAACCTTAAATGTAAATAGGCTATACACCTCAATTAAAAGACACAGACTGGCAAATTGGATAAAGAATAAAGACCCATCAGTGTGCTGTATTCAGGAGACCCATCTCACATCCAAAGATACACATAGGCTCAAAATAAAGGGAGGGAGGAATATTTACCAAGCAAATGGAAAGCATAAAAAAGCAGGGGTTGCAATCCTGGTCTCTGATAAAACAGACTTTACACCAACAAACATCAAAAAAAGACAAAGAAGGGCATTACATAGTGGTAAAGGGATCAATGCAACAAGAAGATCTAACTA
This sequence comes from Homo sapiens, assembly GCF_000001405.40. Taxonomy (NCBI): domain Eukaryota; kingdom Metazoa; phylum Chordata; class Mammalia; order Primates; family Hominidae; genus Homo; species Homo sapiens. The sequence continues at coordinate 113,858,723 of NC_000007.14, forward strand.
TCCTAAATATATATGCACCTAGGACAGGAGCACCCAGGTTCATAAAGCAAGTTCTTAGAGACCTGCAAAGAGACTTAGACTCCCACCCAATAATAGTGGGAGACTGTAACACCCCACTGTCAATATTAGATCAATGAGACAGAAAATTAACAAGGATGTTCAGGACTTGAACTCAAGTCTGGACCGAGCAGACCTAATAGACATCTACAGAACTCTCCACCACAAATCAACAGGATGTACATTCTTCTCAGCACCACAACGCACTTATTCTGAAATTGATGACATAATTGGAAGTAAAACACTCGTCAGCAAATGCAAAAGAGCAGAAATCATAACAAACCATCTCTCAGACCACAGTGCAATCAAATTAGGACTCAGGATTAAGAAACTCACTCATAACCGCATAACTACATGGAAACTGAACAACCTGCTTCTGAATGACCACTGGGTAAATAACGAAATTAAGGCAGAAACACATAAGTTCTTTGAAACCGATGAGAACAAAGATACAACATACCAAAATATCTGGGACGCAGCTAAAGCAGTGTTTAGAGGGAAATTTATAGCACTAAATGCCCACAAGAGAAAGCAGGAAAGATCTAAAATCAACACCCTAACATCACAATTTAAAACACTAGAGAAGCAAGAGCAAACAAATTCAAAAGCTAGCAGAAGACAAGAAATAACTAAGATCAGAGCAGAACTGAAGGAGATAAAGACATGAAAAACCCTTCAAAAAATCAGTGAATCCAGGAGGTGGTTTTTTGAAAAGATCAACAAAATAGATAGAGCGCTAGCCAGACTAATAAAGAGGAAAAGAGAGAAGAATCAAATAGACACAATATAAAATAATAAAGGGGATATCACCACTGATACCACAGAAATACAAACTACAATCAGAGAATACTATAATACCTCTATGCAAATAAACTAGAAATTCTAGAAGAAATGGTTAAGTTCCTGGACACATACACCCTCTGAAGACTAAATCAGGAAGAAGTCAAATCCCTGAATAGACCAATGACATTTTCTGAAATTGAGGCAGTAATTAATAGCCTACCAACCAAAAAAAGCCCAGGACTAGACAGATTCATGGCTGAATCCTACCAGAGGTACAAAGAGGAGCTCATACCATTGCTTCTGAAACTATTCCAAACAATAGAAAAAGAGGGACTCCCCCTAAGAGGGACTCCTCCCTAACTCATTTTATGAGGCCAGCATCATCTTGATACCAAAACCTGGCAGGGACACACAAAAAAAGAAAATTGCAGGCCAATATCCCTGAAGGAACATCGATGCAATAATCCTCAATAAAATACTGGCAAATCAAATCCAGCAGCACATCGAAAAGCTTATCCACCACAATCAAGTCGGATTCATCTCTGGGATGCAAGGCTAGTTCAACATACACAAATCAATAAACGTAATCCATCACATAAACAGAACCAATGACAAAAAAACACATGATTATCTCAATAGATGCAGAAAAGGCATTCAATAAAATTCAATACCCCATCCATCCATACTAAAAACTCTCAGTAAACTAGGCATTCATGGGAAGTATCTCAAAATAATAAAAGTTATTTATGACAAGCCCACAGCCAATATCATACTGAATGGGCAAAAGCTGGAAGCATTACCTTTGAAAAGTGGCACAAGACAAGGATGCCCTCTCTCACCACTCCTATTCAACATAGTATTGGTAGTTCTGGCCAGGGCAATCTGGCAGGAGAAAGAAATAAAGGGTATTCAAATAGGAAGAGAGGAAATCAAATTGCCTCTGTTTGCAGATGACATGATTGTACATTTAGAAAACCCCATTGTCTCAGCCCAAAATCTCCTTAAGCTGATAAGCAACTTCAGCAAAGTCTCAGGATACAAAATCAGTGTGCAAAAATCACAAGCATTCCTACACACCAAATAACAGACAGAGAGCCAAATCATGAGTGAACTCCCATTCACAATTGCTACAAAGAGGATAAAATACTTAGGCATACAACTTACAAGGGATGTGAAGGACCTCTTCAAGGGGAACTACACACCACTGCTCAACGAAATAAGAGAGGACAAAAACAAATGCAAAAACATTCCATGCTAAAGGATAGGAAGAATCAGTATTGTGAAAATGGCCATACTGCTCAAAGTAATTTATAGATTCAGTGCTATCCCCATTAAGCTACCATTGACTTTCTTCACAGAATTAGAAAAAACTACTTCAAATTTCACACGGAACCAAAAAAGAGCTCGCATAGCCAAGACAATCTTAAGCAAAAAGAACAAAGCTGGAGGCATTACGCTACCTGACTTCAAACTATACTACAAGGCTAAAGTAACCAAAACAGCAAGGTACTGATACCAAAACAGATATATAGACCAATGGAACAAAACAGAGGCCTCAGAAGTAACACCACATATCTATAACCATCTCATCTTTGAAAAACCTGACAAAAACAAGAAATGGGGAAAGGATTCCCTATTTAATGAATGGTGCTGGGAAAACTGGCTAAACATATGCAGAAAACTGAAACTGGATCCCTTCCTTACACCTTATAGAAAATTTAACTCAAAATGGATTAAATACTTAAATGTAAGACCTAAAACCATAAAAACCCTAGAAGAAAACCTAGGCAATACCATTCAGGACATAGGCATGGGCAAAGACTTCGAGACTAAAACACCAAAAGCAATGGCAACAAAAGCCAAAATTGACAAATGTGATCTAATTAAATTAAAGAGCTTCTGCATCTGCATAGCAAAAGAAACTATCATCAGAGTGAACAGACAACCTACAGAATGGGAGAAAATGTTTGCAATCTATCCATCTGACAAAGGGCTAATATCCAGAATCTACAAAGAACTTAAAGAAATTTACAGAAAGAAAACAACCCCATCAAAAAGTGGGCCAAGGATATGAACAGACACTTCTCAAAAGAAGACATTTATGTGGCCACAAATATATGAAAAAAAGCTCATTATCACTGGTCATTAGAGAAATGCAAATCAAAACCACAATGAGATACCATCTCACGCCAGTTATAGTGGTGATCATTAAAAAGTCAGGAAACAACAGATGCTGGAGAGGATGTGGAGAAATAGGAACGCTTTTACACTGTTGGTGGGAGTGTAAATAAGTTCAACCACTGTGGAAGACAGTGTGGTGATTCCTCAAGGATCTAGAACAAGAAATACCATTTGACCCAGCAATCTCATTACTGGGTATATACCCAAAGGATTATAAATAATTCTACTATAAAGACACACGCATACATAGGTATATTGTGGCACTATTCACAATAGCAAAGACTTGGAACCAACCCAAATGCCCATCAGTGATAGACTGGATAAAGAAAACGTGGCAAATATACACCATGGAATACTATGCAGCCATAAAAAAGGATGAGTTCATGTCCTTTGCTGGGACATGGGTGAAGCTGGAAACCATCATTCTCAGCAAACTATCACAAGGACAGAAAACCAAACACCACATGTTCTCACTCATAAGTGGGAGTTGAACAATGAGAACACGTGGACACAGGGAGGGGAAAATCACACACCAGGGCCTGTCAGGGAGTGTGGGGGCTAGGGGAGGGATACCATTAGGAGAAATACCTAATGTAGATGATGAGTTGATGGGTGCAGCAAACCACCATGGCATGTGTATACCTATGTGACAAACTGGCATGTTCTCCACATGTATACCAGAACTTAAAGTATTATTTAAAAAATTTAAAAAAGGAATAAGGAAATAGAAGTTAAAAATGTAAAGATACATTTTACGTGTGTGTGTATGCTTTTGAGATATAATTCTCTCAAAACCAATCCAATGCAACTAAAATATCAGGTATATTTTGTAGCATTATGTGGATTTTATTTTAAAGAGAAAAGATTAAAAATAAGTGAGCTATACATTCATCTCAAGAAGGCAAGGAAAATAAAACAGAAATAAATGGATTAGAAACCAAACTAGTTCAATTGCAAGATTTTGGCAGGTTGCATAAAAGAACATATAAAAGTCAATAGCATTCTTACCCTATTGGCATAATTATCAAAATAAAGAACTAATAGCTACTAGATCTAATAAAAGAGTTCAACAAAATAGTTAAGTGACACATAAATCAATAACCCTCTGTCAAAAATTTCTCAAATGAAGATATAATAGGAAAAAATATTTATTTATAATAGCAACAAAATCCATAAGGTACCTTAGAACAAATCTAATAGAAAATGTTTACTGTATTCATTGATAAAGTTGTAAATCATGATTGAATAAAAGACATGAATAAATTAAGAAATATACTATTCTCATGAATGAAAAGACAATGTTTAAAAATATTATCTCTCCTCAAATTTATGTTTCTATTCAGTAAAATTTCAACTTGAGTTTTCAATCACATTTTTCACAAAACTTGATAAGCTGTTCCTATAATTCATATGGAAGAGTAAATAGCCATAAGTTAGAGAATTTTAAAGAGCAAGTTAGAGCAACATCCCCTATCTGATATCAAGATCCAATATCTAAACTTGGAGTTTCTCTGTCGTAGAAGTTTAGAACTCAGACCCAGAAAATTCTAACAAGTAAGGTTTTGGATGTATATAACTAGGATGCAAAGCCACTGTTGGGAAATTCTGTTTTAAGGACCATATATCTTGAAGAGTAAGCGGAGGCAGAAAATCCACTGACAAAAATAGAGAAATGAAAGGGACAAAGAAAACAGAAAAAAAAAGATGAGAGAACATGAAAGTCCAAAAGAGACTACATTTCTGGTGACTTTTTATTTCCTTGTTGCTGTTCCTAGTGATCCCTATTTTCACCTCTCACCCAGAAGTTGCCTTATTTATGATACATTTAATTTTTTCTTAAAGCTACCTTGAAGGGTTTTATTTTCAACCAATGAACAAGTTTGATTGTTATCAAAGTATACTTGGCCTTAGAAATTAAAATGATGTCCTACTTTATAAAATACCATAGGCTCTATGCCTTTGTCTTCCTGAAAGGAAGAAGCGAGGCAAAATTATTATAAGTAGTTTATTTGGGCCAAGCTTGCAGGTTGCAACCTAGGAGTGTAGATTGATTTAACATGCCCTGAATATACACTCTAATTAGCAACATGAGTAGGTTTTTCAAAGGAAAGGAACAGACAGTTCCTAAGTTATTTATAAATAATTTACATTAAAATAGCATAAGTTATACACTGTTCTTTGTATCGAAAATTCCAGGAACATGAAGATAATGGATGAGGCAGCTAGTCAAGAACAAAATTCCTTTATACCAGTGGTCCACAACTTTTTGGCACCAAGGACTGGTTTCATGGAAGACAATTTTACCACAGACTTGGGTGGTGGGGGGGCTACGGAGGTAGTTGATTTGGGGATGAAACTGTTCCACCTCAGATCATCAGGCAGTAGTTACATTCTCATAAGAAGCAGTCAACCTAGATCCCTCACATATGCAGTTCACAGTAGGGTTTGGGCTCCTATGAGAATCTAATGCCACCACTGATCTGACAGGAGATGGATCTTAGGTCTTTATGGGAGTGATGGGGAGAAGCTGTAAATCCAGATGAAGCTTCACTTGCTCACCCACCTCTTACCACCTGCTGTGCAGCCCAGTTCCTAACAGACTACAGACCAGACTACAGTACTGGTCCACGGCCCAGGGCTTGGGGACCCCTGCTTTAAACAATTGCCCCCAGGCATGAGGGGGCAGGGCATGACTGAAATCCCATCCTCATGTCTCTCTGGGCTTGCATAACTCACAGAGCTCAGGCTGCTCTAAGGTATTTTTCTTTTCTGACCCCCAGTGATAGAACAGCTTTATAGATGCAGCAAATTGACCCATTAATTTTTTTTAATTGAGCAAAGAGACAATATAAAAAGAGCAGTTTTCAAAAACCATTCCTCTGTGTCTTATGTGGGTAAGGTTATGCTGCTAGTAGAAGCATAGCTAAAAGCTTTTAAAGCAACTATGCCAGTCTTTTGCTAGCATATCCGTATGAACTTCTTCTGTGGTCTCACATAATGATAGTACTTCTTTGGATATGTTTCCAATACACACACTCCTTAAGCAGAGTGAAGGAAAAGAGATCCACTGCTATTCAGTCTCAGCATAGCATCACCTGCATGAAGTAAGGCCAAAAGTTAAAGTTACTGCAAAGGCCAAAACTAAATATAGTGACATTGGTTCTGCCTTAAAATATCTTTGTCGGCCGGGCGCGGTGGCTCACGCCTGTAATCCCAGCACTTTGGGAGGCCGAGGTGGGCGGATCACGAGGTCAGGAGATCGAGACCATTTTGGCTAACATGGTGAAACCCCGTCTCTACTAAAAATAATTTAAAAAAATTAGCCGGGCGTGGTGGCGGGCACCTGTAGTCCCAGCTACTGGGGAGGCTGAGGCAGGAGAATGGTGTGAACCCGGGAGGCGGAGCTTGCAGTAAGCCGAGATCGTGCCACTGCATTCCAGCGATGGAGCGAGACTCCGTCTCCAAAAACAAACAAAAAAAATCTTTGTCTCGTATTGGATATCTTGGGTCATTTGTTCACATTTTCATTTATTTTTGCTGTTTTAATAGTGTTGTTTTACCCTATGATTGTTAAATCTTGGTAATAGGATATAGTTACTTCCCCCCAAATTTTTGTTCCTTTTACTGATGAGAAGCAGAATGCATATTCATAATACACCTTCTAGCACCATAAACCATTATAATTTTGAGTATCACATAGTGGGCTCCACAACTTTTGCAAAAGTTTCTTCCATCTTGTGCCATGCTGGCTATCTCAAATGATGGAATTATCATGTCCTGAACCATCTGAGTAGGCCTACAGTATCTGGTTTCACAGTGGTGTAATTACCTTATGTCAGTAATGTAAATGATTTCTTTCTTGGATTTTGGCCAGCACATTCTTTTTAACATGTTTCTACCATTTTTTTTTCCTTTTTTTTTTTTTGACATTGTCCTCAGCATTACTATGTAAAAATATTGTTCTACTTTACCTAAGCTGATCAGGAGCTGCTATACATGAATTACAATCTATGATCCCAAGGACAAGAATTCTGTCTTTAGGTAATAGAAGGCTATTGCATTGAAAGCTGCCCCTTTTATTCATGTGACACAGAGTACTTCACACCTATTGGGTAGGTTATTTTCATAGATTTCGTAGGCTGACCTTACAATTCATCATCCAAACCATTTTACTTATGAAAGTTAAAAGGGGTGCTATTATTAATTACACTAGAACATTAGGCATAAGTAAGCACTACTACAATTACATCAACATGTATCCTCATCCCAGTTATTATGCAAGTAAAAGTTAGATATAATAATGCATTTGGAGGGTATTTTGTGTGTGTGATTTCCTTGATCCCTAAAATTACAGTGTTAAAAAGATGGCACATCTCTGAAATGTGTAAAGCAAATTGCTTACAAAACCAAACAATCCTCACTTTGTGCCACTTCTGCTCTTAAATTTTATCTCTATTACTGAACTGGTGACAGATATTGCCATTATTGGTTTATGTCTCTACCTCCATTGCTGTGCTCAAGCCAGGTAAGATGTAGGACAAATATATTGCTTGCAGCCTAGAAGGAGCTCAATCAGTATTTTTTGAATTGAACCCATTTGAATAAAAATGAATTGAAAAGAATAGAATGTTTTAGGAACCTTCCATTTTCAGGAGCATTCATAAAGAATCAGCTGTGCAAAAGATACAGTGTGTTATGTGTAGTGTACTTGTATGTAAATATAGTACCACAGAGCACACTGACATAGAACTGTGTAATTTATAAGAATAGCTCAGTGTATCTGGATTGAAGGTACAACATAGTGAAATAGTTAAGAGGATCAACTCTGGAGAAAAACTGCTAAGGATCTGAATCTAGACTTTACTGCTGACTAGCTATGTAACCTTGGAAAAATTAATCTATGCATCTGTTTCCACCTATAAAATGAGAAAATTTTCTCAAGCAGTTGTGAAAAATAAAATGTGTTATTTTCCATAAGGAGTTTTAAATACTACCCAATTTACTATAAACACTCAATAATTGGCCATAAATTTATTATTTTTATTGTTGATATTATTAAAGATGGAAACCTCACATGCACAGATCAGTAGGATATATATGTAGAAGTTATATTCAAAGATTGAGTACAACTTGATACTGTTTATTCATATAATAAAAAATCAACTGTTGTATTTAAATTAAATAGTAATTTAAGGATGCGAATAGGACTAAATAGGCCAAAAGAATTCACATGCGAAGAGCCAATCTGACTTGAATTATAATCTATAGGCTTACCCAACATGCTAAAGGCTATACCCGCTTCTTCAATTTTCTGGAAGAGTTTCAGAGGAATTGGTATTCATTTTTCGCTGAATGTTTAATAGGATTCAGCAGAGAAGCTATCAGGTCCTGGGCTTTTCTTTGAGAGGAGATTTTTAATTACAGATTTAATCTTATTACTCATAATTAGTCTGTTCAAGTTTTCTATTTATTTTTGGCTCAGTCTTAGTAGATTGTATGTGTCCAGGAATTTATTTATTTTTCCTAGGTTTTCCAATTTGTTGGTTTACAGTTGTTCATAATAGTCTCTAATGATCCTTTTTAGTTCTGTGGTATCAGTGGTAATCTACCCTTTTAATTTTTATTTTATTTATTTGGTTATTTTTTTTTCTTTTTTTTCTTTGTTAGTCTAGTTAGTGGTTTGCCAGTTCTCAAAATTTTATAGAAAATTGGGCCAGGTACAGAGGCTCATGCCTATAATCCTAGCCCTTTAACAGGCCGAGTCAGGAGGATTACTTGAGCCTCATAGTTTGAAACCAACCTGGGTAATTGAGCAAGACCTTGTCTCTAATAAAAATAAAAATAGTTCTTCTTGAAGAGGTCCTTCACGTCCCTTGTAAGTTGGATTCCTAGGTATTTTATTCTCTTTGAAGCAATTGTGAATGGAAGTCACTCATGATTTGGCTCTCTGTTTGTCTGTTATTGGTGTATAAGAATGCTTGTGATTTTTGCACATTGACTTTGTATCCTGACACTTTGCTGAAGTTGCCTATCAGCTAGGCAATACCATTCAGGACATAGGCATGGGCAAGGACTTCATGTCTAAAACACCAAAAGCAATGGCAACAAAAGTCAAAATTGACAAATGGGATCTAACTAAACTAAAGAGTTTCTGCACAGCAAAAGAAACTACCATCAGAGTGAACAGGCAACCTACAGAATGGGAGAAAATTTTTGCAATCTACTCATCTGACAAAGGACTAATAATCAGAATCTACAATGAACTCAAACAAATTTACAAGAAAAAAACAAACAACCCCATCAAAAAGTGGGCGAAGGATATGAACAGACACTTCTCAAAAGAAGACATTTATGCAGCCAAAAGACACATGAAAAAATGCTCATCATCACTGGCCATCAGAGAAATGCAAATCAAAACCCCAATGAGATACCATCTCACACCAGTTAGAATGACGATCATTAAAAAGTCAGGAAACAACAGGTGCTGGAGAGGATGTGGAGAAATAGGAACACTTTTACACTGTTGGTGGGACTGTAAACTAGTTCAACCATTGTGGAAGTCAGTGTGGTGATTCCTCAGGGATCTAGAACTAGAAATACCATTTAACCCAGCCATCCCATTACTGGGTATATACCCAAAGGATTACAAATCATGCTGCTATAAAGATACATGCACACATATGTTTATTGTGGCACTATTCACAATAGCAAAGGCTTGGAACCAACCCAAATGTCCAACAATGATAGATTGGATCAAGAAAATTTGGCACATATACACCATGGAATACTATGCAGCCATAAAAAATGATGAGTTCATGTCCTTTGTAGGGACATGGATGAAGCTGGAAACCATTATTCTCAGCAAACTATCACAAGGACAAAAAACCAAACACCACATGTTCTCACTCATAGGTGGGAATTGAACAATGAGAACACATGGACCCAGAAAGGGGAACATCACACACTAGGGCCTGTTGTGGGGTCGGGGGAGGGGGGAAGGATAGCATTAGGAGATATACCTAATGTTAAATGACGAGTTAATGGGTGCAGCACACCAACATGGCACATGTATACATATGTAACAAACCTGCACATTGTGCACATGTACCCTAAAACTTAAAGTATAATAAAAAATAAAATAAATAAAAAATAAATTAGTCAGGCATTCCTGGCATGTACCTGTAGTCCTAGCTACCCAGGAGGCTGAGGCAGAAGAATAGTTTGAGCCCAGGAGTTTGAGATGGCAGTGAGCTATGAACACGTCATTGCACTCCAGCCTCAGCAATGGAGTGAGACAGACACAGAAAGAAAAGAAAAGAAGAAAGAAAAAAGAAAAGAAAAGAAGAAAGAAAAGAAGATAGAAAAGAAGAGAGGAGAGAGAGAGAAAGGGAGAAGGGGAGAAGAAAGGGAGAGAGGGAGAGAAAGAGAGAGAGAGGAAGGAAGGAAGGAAGGAAGGAAGGAAGGAAGGAAGGAAGGCAGGCAGGCAGGCAGGCAAATTTAAGGAAGTAATTCTTCCAAATTCATTATTTGTTTGATTCTATGAGGCTAGCATTACCCTGTACCAAAACCAGCTAAGGATACACACACAAAAATAGAAACCTACAGGCCAATATGCCTGATGAATATAGATTTTAAAAAATCCTCAACAAAATTCTAGCAAACTGAATCCAGTAACACATTAAAAAAATCATTCACCATGATCAGGTAGGATTTATCCTAAGGTTGTAAGGATGGTTCAACATACACAAATCAATAAATATGATACACTATATTAATATAATAAACAACAAAATAATATAATCATCCCAATATATGCAGAAAAAGCATCTGATAAAATTTAATGTCCCTGCATAAATAAGACTCTCAACAAACTAGGTATAGAAGGAACCTACCTCAACACAATAAAGGCCATATATGACAAACCCGCAGCTAACATACCTAACAGGAAAAAGTTAAAAGCTTTTCCTCTAAGAACTGGAATAAGACAGTAATGTCTACTTTCACCACTCTCATTCAACATAGTACTAAAAGTCTTGGCTAGAACAATCAGGCAAGGGAAAATAATAAACGGCATCCAAACTGGAAAGGGGGAAGTCAATTTGTTCCTGTTTGAAGATGATATGATCTTATATACATATTTTTAAACCCTAAAAACTCTCCCAAAAAACCCTTAAAACTGATAAACATATTCAGTAAAAATACAGGCAATAAAATCTACATACAAAAATGAATAGCATTTCTCTACACCAACAACTAGCAAAAAAAGAAATTAAGAAAACAATTATATTCATAATATCCACGAAATATACCTATGAATTGATTTAACCAAAGAGGCGAAAGATCCCTATAAGAAAAACTATAAAACACTGAAGAAAAAAAATTGAAAAAAAAAACACAAATGGAAAGACATCCTGTGTTCATGGATTCAAATAATTAATATTGTGAAAATAACCATACTGCCAAAAGCAATCTATAGATTCAGTTCAATCTCTATCACAATTCTAATGAAATTCTTTACAAAAATAGAAAAAGGCAACCCTAAAATTCCTACGAAACCACAAAAGACCCCCAAATAGCCAAAGCAATTCTCAGGAAATAGAACAAAACTAGAGGCATCACACCACCTGACTTTAAAGTATACTACAAAGTTAAACCAAAACAGCCTGGTAGTGGCATAAAAACTGACACATAGACCAGTGGAACAAAACAGAGAAACTAGAAACAGCCACTGATTTTTGACAAAGGCAACAAAAACATTCTTTGGGAAAGACATTCTCTTTAATAAATAGTGGTGGGAAAACTGAATTTCCATATGCAGAAGAATAAAACTAGACCTCTCTCATCATATTAAAAAAATCAACTCAAAATGAATTAAAGACATAAATGGTGTAAGACCGCAAATTTTGAAACTACTAGAGGACAACATAGGGGAAATATTTCAGGACATTGGTCTAGGCAAAGATTTTATGGAGAAGGCCTTAATAGCCCAGACAACAAAAGCGAAAGTAGACAAATGGGATTATATCAAACTAGAAAGCTTCTGTACAGCAAAGTAAACAATGAACAGAGTAAACAGACAATCAGTAGAAAAATATTTGCAAATATTAATCCAACAAGGAATTAATAGCCAGAATATACAAGAAACTGAAACAACTCAGCCAGTAAACAAGTACCTTGATTAAACACTGCATATTCTCACTCATAGGTGGGAATTGAACAATGAGATCACATGGACACAGGAAGGGGAATATCACACTCTGGGGACTGTGGTGGGGTGGGGGGAGGGGGGAGGGATAGCATTGGGAGATATACCTAATGCTAGATGACAAGTTAGTGGGTGCAGCACACCAGCATGGCACATGTATACATATGTAACTAACCTGCACAATGTGCACATGTACCCTAAAACTTAAAGTATAATAAAAAAAAGAAGAAAAAAAAGATGAGAAAAAAAAGTTAGCAAATGAGCTGAATAAACATTTCTCAAAATAAGAATATAAATGGCCAATCGGTATATTTAACAAAAAGTGCTCACCATCACTAATCATCAGGGAAATGCAAATCAAAACCACAATAAAATATCACCTCATTCCAATCAGCATGGCTATCAACAAAAAGATAAAATACAACAAATGTTGGCAAGAACGTGGAGAAAGGAGGAACCTGATACACTGTGGTAGGAATGTAAATTAGTAAAGCCATTTTGGAAAGCTATATGGAGTTTCATCAAAAACTGCAAGTAGAACTACCATATGATCCAGCAATCCCACTACTGGCTATTTATGAAAAATAAAGGAAATCAGTATGTCAAAAAGACCTCTGAACTGAACCATGAACTGAAGCATGTTTATTGCAGTACTATTCACAATAGCCCTTGATATGAATCAACTTAAGTTTTCATCAATAGATGAATGGATAAAGAAAATGTGGTATATATACACAATGGAATACTGCTCAGCCATGAAAAAAATGAAATCCTGTTATCTGTAGCAATATGGATGAGCTTGGAGAACATGATGTTAAGGGAAATAACCCAGGCACAGAAAGACAAATACCATATAGTCTCACTCATATGTGGAAGTTTAAAAAGTTGAGCTTATAGAAGTAGAGGGTACTGGAATAGTGGTTACTAGGAGTTTGAATGGATGGGATAGATAGAAATTGTCAGAGATTTTGGCTAATGGACACAAAATCACATCTAGATAGGAGGAATACATTCTATCATTCTATAGTACTTAGGGTGAGTAGAACAGAATTTACAACAATTTATTGTTTATTTTCAAATAGAAGAGTGGATTTGGAATATTCTCAACACAAATAAATGATAAATGTTTGAGGTGATGAATATGTTAATTGCCCTGATTTTGTCATTACACATTGTAAAAATATATCAAAATATCACTGTACTCATTTGTACAATTGTCAATTAAAAATAATAAAAGCAAAAGATTATGAAAATATGAAAAACATTATCTTTACTTTCTATTTTCTTTTCCAAATTTCAAAGAGTAGAAATGTATTTAAAATATTTTCACATGTTTATGAAGATAGGAAATAATCTTTTCTTTATTCCCTTCTTTAGGTAGGACTCCACCATTTCACTTAAAAACAAAGAAATTGTAGTATTTGCATCAAGAAAAAAGGACAATTGGATTTTCCAAATATGTATTAATTGGGAAGTCAATTTAATATGTAGAAAAATATCTTTTTAGTGTGTATGTTTAAAATGATTTAAATGTATTTTTCTATAAACACTTTATGCTAAAAATGTTTACAAATTCTAACATAAAAGCTTCCTACATAAAATTACTAAAAGTAGGTTATGGGTTAAGTGTTTACAAAGAGAATTTCTAAACTCATAATGATTTTTAAGCACCATCTCTCTGCTGTTTGATATTATGTTTTATAGAGTTTGTCTTTAAGGAAATTTTAAGTCTGTTTCCACTCAGAACCAAGTCAATCATATACAGGATTATTGAATTCTACCGTATGATAGACACGTATCTGGCTTTTCTTTGAGCCTTCAGATACTAGTTGCCAATAGTCTTAAGCTGTTGCGTGACATGCTACTACATTTCTAGGCTACATTTCTTTCCTTTGGACTCTGCCTCAAAATTAGACATGTCTTTGTATTAACATTTTAATTTCATATCTGAGTTTGATATGATGAATCTCGTCAAGAATGAACCTCCACACATTACATGCATCACTACACGAAGTATTAGTAGACCGTATTCTCTGCCATTTGTCACTGATTGAATGTTAAAATCATGTGTATGCTGCTGGGTGGGTACTCATATATTAATCAAGCAAATGCTTTCTTTTTCAAAAAAATCCACTGATTATTTTTTCTAGTTGTTCTGTTTGTTTATCCTAAAAGTTGACATGCATAACAGGTGCAAAACTGAAAGATCAGCCATTTTCAAAGGGCACGGCAGCAGTTAAGAAGATTGAGTTTCTTACACTTTATGTCTTGTGATGTTTGTTGGTTTTTAAGCTACTGAGCTACTTTATTTGAAAACATGTCTTGTTCTATTTTCACCTTAGCCAGTGAATTTAAGTTTGCATTATTGTTCTTTTAACATATAATTGGTATTTTATTCCCATGAAATAAAGGGAATGATTCATGTGCTAGAAAAAAATTATAAATACAATAAATCAACTTAATTCTTAAGAGAAATGGAGAGAAAAGGGGATGTTTCTTTCCTCCCTACCTCCCAAATCCATTATACGATTCTGTCCTTTTTTTCTCAATGTCTCTGCCTTTTTCAACCTTGTGTTTGGTAGTTTACTAAAGCACTCTAGTTTTGATTCAGTTAAATTTATTCCTTTTTAAATCAGACCTCAGAGTATCCTGTCTTCATTTTAAGGATAATAAAGACCTCATTGCAATTCAATTCTATCCACAAGTATTGACTGAATATTCCTACAAACTAGACCTTGCAGTGTGATAGGAAACCTTGTCCATCTTGAACAAGCAGACAGTCCAGTTAGAATGAGTCAAATCCCTAGTGCATGCAAGAAGAAGGTTAGTCAGAGATATGAAAGTGGAGAGATCCTACTGACTGAAACAGGATACTTCCAAAAGACAGGGTCTTGAATTTCCATAGCAAAGTGTGCAGAACTGGACAGGAAGAGAGAAGTAGAGATAACCGAACGTGTCCTTTAGGCAGGGAGGCATACATGAACAGTCATGGAGGTACAGATTCCTATGACATGTTCTGGGGATGATGTCACTGACTAAGGGCTTGAGACAGGGAGCAGTGAGAAATAAGGTTGAATGGTTTCACTCAGTAGGGGTATGAGTAGGAAGATGCATCAATTGTAACCAAGGCCAGTTTAATTAGGCATTGAAATCTGCTGCAAATCATATGTTGGAGGCATCACAGCTAAATAAAGGTAATTTATCTATAATCTATTGTTTTACCCATGCCTCTCTTCATTACCATTAATACAAAGAATTGAGTATGTTAGGAAAAAGGGACTTCATCAAATTTTCACATTTGTTTCATATTTGAAAAATGAAAGTAATATGAATGCATTTAAAAAATGTAGAAGTGACACAAAATAAAAATGTTATGCTTTTTAAACAGTTGTTTGTTTAATAAGGTTTTAACACACTAAAATAAAGACATTTCTTATAAAACATGATCATTCAAACCTAGTGAAAATTTAATTCACTGTTTTAAATAGGTTTTGGCAAAGTGATGGAAACATATTGGATTAATGGCAAAATATATTTTTAAAAGATGGAAAGTGAATTATGTTGCCATGATTTTTATTACAAATTATTTCCAAAAACAGAAAAAATAAGCAAATGAATTTAACCAAATAAATACCAGTAATTTTTTTTACTGTTCTCTTCATATAGGAGTACAGAGATAGAGGTGCTTGAAGAGCTTGGCTTCTCATTTATTTCAGATCTTGTTGCAGATTCAAAGTCAATCTTATTTCTCAGTTCTACAGGAACTGGCTAAGACAGATTCAAATAACTAAATAAGATCCTATTGCATAATCCAATTTCGATATTCTCAGTAAAAATTTGAAAGGAAAGTCAGAGATCACAAAAACAGAAATCAGTAGAGGAATCTGCTTGTATTTTTACTAGTTCTTCTGCTAGTTTATTGTTTTGCTTTGCTTGCTTTTTTGTTCATTTATATACAAAGCTTGCCATGGATATTTTTAAGTTTCCATTTAACCAGCAGACTGGTTTGAGATAACAAATTAAAGATAGACCTGCTTAATAAATTGATAGATGATATAGACATAGATATATTAGTTGAAATAATTAACTATCAAAATACTGGAGCTCAGCAGGAAACCAAGGCTGCATTAACCCAATGTTCTTTTATGTTGAAGGGTGAATGTCATCTCATGAGCTTATTTTCTCTTACCTTGAGAAATCTATTGTGATATTGATGGCCTATACTGATGTGATTTTTTTTTTAAAGATAATTGTTTTTGCTACCCACACTTACTTGACTTGCAAATTTTTAGAATTTTGTTTCTAAAAGTCAGAAGCCCAGCAAAATAAAGACTAAGTTATGTTTCTTACCCAACATATGAAGCGGATGTGTGATGCACCTCTAACTCTCCTGACATGCCTTCATTTGGGCCTTAACCAGTACTTGGAGAGACAGAGTGCAGGCAGCTATGCTTGTAAAGATTACCCTTGCCATGATGACTCACAGCCAGATCTCCCTTAACCAGGGGCTGCTAGTCCTCCCTGAGATCCACTTTTCTTGCTCGGCATAGTGATGTGACCAAAACAGGTTGAAATAACCCATCTATTCACATATCAATAGTTTCATAGGTTCCTATTTTATTTCAAGGTCATGAGTAATGTTTGGAGATGCAGTTGAATCATGAATTATTTCTTCACTGAATTCAGAGAAATACAATTATTTCAAATCTTTTAAAATTTGTTTTGTCATATTAAAAATGCATAGGAGAAGATTTGGTAAGTTAATATTACCAAAAAGTAAATAAAAGACATAAAAAGTTATGTTGTCTTTTAAGAGAATAATTCTAGCTCAGACACCTGTGTTCATAAAGTAATGTAGTGTTCTCTGCAATAATGAGATATGGCATGTTGACTAAAACCCTTAAAGGTAGAATTCAAAAACTGAGACATTAAGAACTAAGGAAATCCTAACCTTAACTTCATTGTAATTTAGACCTGTCAACAAAATTATCAGGATAGCAATTTTAGAGATTATTTCTAGGTACTGCTTACAGTACTTCTCTTGTACTGAATGAAATTGTGCCCTCTCAATCAAATATTTGCCCTAAGCTCTACTTTAGGATGTTTGTATTTGGTCAACTAAAAAGTTGAAGTCAAGCATTCATTTTCAATGGGACTTGAGAGTAGTATGCAATTAGAGGATTTGGAAATAGTTACGTACCTAATAAAAATTAAGGAAATCATCTACTACCAGATGAAAGTCAGTATAAGTGTTTCATTCTTGTTTTGTCTTCCCATAAATGCATATGTCTTAGTTATATGGGATGACATATGCAAGTTGTACTCATTGACTTTGCCCTTACAGGTAAATAAACAGATTGCTTTTTCTATCTGAAGATCAGTGTTACATGTTTTATGAAGGAATTTCCTATGAAAAAAGAACCAACCAAAGAGGCCTCCTCTGGGTGTCTTTCTTCCATAATTTCAGTGAAGTCAGAAGTGTCACACTACGTACCTATGCCTAGAACTAGCTATGCAGCATATCAAAGGAAGTTCTATGCCACAGAACAGAGCACAGAGTTTTGCATATAGTAATCATTCAATAAATAGTTGAAATAAACTATGTGAATCTTTGCATTGCCTCTACTTGACTAAAATGATGAGTTTCATTATCATACACACTTAGCTATAGGTAATAACAGCAGTCAAAGTCACTGCTATACTGGATATTCATTTCTTCTTCAGATTTCCACATTACCTATTTGCCTACTGAAAATTTTGAGTTATCATCTAACAACCTGATAATCATATAATAAATATCACCAAAGACTGTTTTCTAAATGCATTTTGGGGGATAATTCATTCTCTTAGAAAATATTTGAAGACAAAAATACAATGTGGAACAAATAGTCCATTTGGAATTTTTATTGTCATTTAATGCCTTATGCTTTATAGGTACAAATTCATTCTGAAGCAATGCTTGTGGAAATTTTAATTTACATTTTCAATTCTGAATAGTTGACACTGAAATAGTTCAGCTGTGTTACAGTCTTCCCTCACAAGAGAAAAGCATTGCTTAAAGACAGGCCACCCACAGAATTTTTCAGAATTGAAAGATAATCTCCCAATTGTTTCAGTCTTGTCAGATTTTGCCTATGAACGCCCTGACTTTGTAGCTATAAAGAAGGTATGTGTGTGTGTGTGTGCATGCATCAAGTATTACACTCAAGTGAACAGAATATGTTTAAGTTTGCATTTCAATATATATGGGTGTTTTCTTAAAAATATGAAAGGTTGAAATATTTGATCAATGAATCCTGATAAATGATAAATTGAACAAATTTCATGTTCAATACTAAAAGACCAAAAAAGTCCTCTGCCATTGTCCATGTTTTATCTGTTTTTTAAAACCGTAGGGGAAAATATATACTCTCAAGGGGAAAAAAAAATGAAGCTTTATTGCAAGAGAAATGAATGCAAGAAATAGCACTTTAAGTAGTGAAGAGATGTGAAGCATTGCAACTTCATAGCCTGCTAAGGAGCAACAGCTGTACCTAATTTCAACTTGACGTGCTTCAGATCTCATATTCATATAGGTATTTAATGATCCAAACATAATGGTCCTATATAGAATAATTACTTATATGAAGGAGCAAACTTATTCGCGTCCCTTTTTAAATGATCCTTCAAGAGAAAAACTGCACTGGATCTTTGAACAATGAATAGTCCCATTCACCAATCCAAATGTTTGGGGTTAAATAGCTTATCTTTTAAGAGAGAATAGTAGTGCTGAGGTTACTTCTTTTTGACAGACTCTTTTTGTCTACCCTCTTCCCAGGATAGCCAGGACAATGACAAAACGTAGAATGTCAAGCCAATCATTAAGTCATAATGGTAGACAGTTATAAGAAATATCAGAAACAAAAGGAAATAAGGT
Source organism: Homo sapiens (assembly GCF_000001405.40). NCBI lineage: Eukaryota > Metazoa > Chordata > Mammalia > Primates > Hominidae > Homo > Homo sapiens. The sequence continues at coordinate 113,877,865 of NC_000007.14, forward strand.
ATTTTAGAGTTGGTATATTTTGAAAACAAAGATTCGTTGCCTTGAGCTTGACTTTCCTCAACAGGAAGACTAGTAGAAGCAGAGCTGTCAGATTCCTTTTCACCTGAAGTGTATAGTGATTGCCCAGAGCTTACTAATCCTTCATTTTCATGCCTTGCTTCTTCCATATTCTCAAGAGGTTTGTTGATTAAAATCATTGGCCCTAGAGATTTTTCCACACTATACTCTTCTGTTTGGAAAATCTGGCCTATGCATCTTTCTTTTCTACTACCTGATGTCACTATTCCTGAACTTCTGGAAACTTCTTCAGGTTTAGACTCAGGATAAGGGTGCTTCTCAATACCCTGGATTTCTCTTGTTGAATTACAAATATTTTCTGATTTCGTAGAAATAGGTTGGCTAGCCATGGTAGTAACTGCATTCTCTACAGCAATTGCCTGCTCATTAGTTGACACTGAAATTTCAGTATGATGTTTGGAAAAAGGAGAGCTATTCTGAGGAGCTCTATTAGTGTCTGAGTTAAAAGCAGAATGCACAATGGCATCCGAGTCTGTTTTCTTTGATAATTCTTGAACCTGCCTAAGATCTCTGTTTTCTGAAAATACAGTTTTGTCTGTTGGTAACATTCCCAACTGTAAATCCAGTTTTGAAGTTGCTTTTTGATATTCTGTAATGACCCATGAGGATTCTTCCACAGATGTTATATTTCCAGTGCCACATTTCTCCCTGTCATGTGTCTTCCTAGGATTGTACATAGACATGGTTTCTTCCTTCTCCATTTCATCTACACGTACATTACAAATACCTAAACGTGATTCCTTTTCAAAATCATTGTCATAGATTACACCTACTGTATCTCGTTGACAAAGGGTATAATGTGAATCATCATTTCTCCCTTCATGTGGATCAAACGCTGTTTCCTTTACCTCGATGGGCCTGTCACTTCGTGCTGTCTCTTGAGGTAGCTTAGCAATTATTGCTTTTTCTCTAGCAGACATGCTTTCTGGAGTACTTTCTGATGTTGTCTTAATTATATAGGCTGTACCAGCTTCTGCTTTCTCAGTAATGCCATGATCAGCTAGAGAAGACAGTTCACAGCACACTGTTTCTTGGCAGGTAAACAATTCTTCTGTAGTAGCTTTCAAACTCCTCGTATTATCTCTTTTTCCCCACACGTCTTCACAATCTGTTTGTCCTTTGATATGCTCTGTTATGTTTGTCTTATTCTCTCTTGATTTTCCCTGACTTTCCAGAACATTCCAACTTTGTTTATGCTGTGGGCTATTATCCTGATCTTCAGAATTAATCCCACCTGATTTTTCTTCAACTTGGAAAAGATAATCATTCCTCAAAACATTTCCAGTTCTTGATGAACAAACTTGACCAGTTATCCCTCCTAAAGCGCTGCCTTCACTAGTCAAATGATGATGCTCTGGGGTTAACACAGCTTCTTCCCAACTTAAATTTGTCCTTGGTGAATGAGACACATCTGCTGTGATTGCCCGGGTGGGGATTGCGGTATGTTCGCTCAGCAGAGTAGCCAGGTCTCTGTTACTAGCTCCAATCCCTGCCACACTTATTTTAGGGTTACCCATCTTCCTTTCTTGGTCATGTAAGATTGTTTGGAAATTTTTTCTTTGTTTTTCATTAACACCTAAATATATTCTTTGTTCTTCATCATCCTTACCATTGCCATAATAATCTTCCTTAGAAGATCCTTCTTCTGTTGATTCTTTGAGACATGCCGACGTATCTGAATGGAAATCTCTTCGTAAACATCCCAAATCTTTTACTTCAATATTTTTAGCTCCTCCTTCATGTTTTTTATTAAGGTTTCCTGCCATTAGTTGATCTGAAGAGGGGCAAGGTATTTGCACTGTGCCATTGCCATGGGCTGGATTAGCATTATCATCCAGGACTTCTTTGCTGCCAGTATGTAATTGCACTAGTTCATCACTACTAGTATCTCCCAATGATGGCTTGATTTCTCCCATATTTGAAGTAGTTTCCTCTGAAGGTTGATGTGTACAGTCATCTCCTGAGGAATATTTTTCATTGCAGTAAAAATCTCCCTTTACGGAGCTTTCTGCTGATGAACTTGGAGACAGAGACCTTTGGAACAAGTCAGTACATATTTCACCATGGATTTGCTTCTTCTCTAACCCCTCTGCTTTATTTGGAAAATTGACTGGATCTGTTGAAAATGTATTCCTTTCATCTCTGGAAGCAGTACTTCTGGTTCTTATTAAGTGTTGATTTATCTTATGGGATAAAAACAACAAAGAAATAATGACCATAAGATCTTTTAAAATATATAGTGAATTAGATAGGTTTTATTAACTCGGCTAGTAATTATCTGGTAGATTTCTTTGACTGATTTCATTTGTGGATTTCATATAAACTCTGGAAGCCAGATGTTTTGGGGAAATCCTTGCAGGCTATGACTGGGGAACGAGATTAGTAAGAAAGGGGGCCCAAATTTATCACTCTCCTTCCCAGCTTCCAACTATCACATTGTATTATTCAACTGTTCTTGCTTGTCATTGCACTTTCTCCTCACTTAGACTATACACATTGATAGCTCCATGCTAATCAATTAGACAGCAGCTTCCTGGGTGCCCCTTGCTGCATTTACACTTGCTGTAGGTGCCCCCATTACAGTTTCTCTTATTAATATGTTTTCTGCAAAGCCTCTGCAAACTATTAATAGCAAAACGTCACTCAAAGAAAAGTGAGGGAGTTAATGTCTCTGCAAATTCTGTTTTAATGACCCTCTGCCAACTGGTACTCAAATGTATTTGAGCTCTTCAGTGATGCCAACTGTCAGGATTTAACAGTGAGATGCCTGTGTTTTTTTTTTTTTCTCCTCATAACTGACATTTGCATGATCTCAATAATTATATGCAAATCTTACGTTTTCCCCTTCTTCTCACATAAGGCTCATGTTACTTGTCAACTGCACAGCTGTCTTGTAAGCCAATGCCTGTGGGTTCCACAGATTTGGTTGTATTTCCATCTATTATAGAGCTTCATTGTTTTATGCATTAACGTCAGCATGGAGCAAATTAGCATCTAAATTACAGCTCCCTGTTCATTTATTGGATGTACAATCTCAGTAACTTCTAAACAAACTTTTATATTTGAGCCTGCTCATCGTAATGAGATGTATTGGTGAAGTATGTGATTTTTCAGGGCCCTTTCATTATATTCTGTGGTTTGAAAAAAATGGCCATGTTAACTTTCAGCTGGTGAGAATTCTCACAATGGGTGACAACTTTGTAGTTTCTTAAAGTTGGAGCAAAGTAAATTGCATACTTTAGTGATGCAGCTCCGCGATCACTATAGAAAAGGTGGAATATGTGGGGAAATAGATGAGCTCTATTTCTTTCCTGTTTCAGCACTGACACTTGAAGAGACAAATGTCATTTTAATCTTAGATGATTATGAATCCATGTATTCCAATGATATGAGCTCCATCCAAATACAGTAAAGGATAAATTGCATTATGTGACTCATTTACTCCTATTTCTTCCTTTGTGATAAAAGTGCTGTATAAACCATCCCCCCAAAAAATTCCAAATAGATTGAATGCTCACCAAGTATGAAATTTATAACAAATTTAATACTAAGTTGTATAGTACTGAATTTGTTTCCTGTTTTAAAATTATGGCACAGGCTATTTTCTTTTTACTTGGTAATTTAATACTCTACAATGATATAGAACTTGGAGATTCTCACAAGGATGGAATTTTTTAAAAAATGCTGTTACATGTGAGAATCATAGACTTCTAGAGTAGGACAGGACACTAACAATCCTCTAGTCCAGCCCTCTCATTTTATAGACGAGTTTATGCTAAGTATACACTTGTCACAAAGATTAGAAATGCACATCAGGATAGTGCTACCTCTCCTGTAATTCCTGCAAACTATTACTCAGAGCCACTGGTAAAGAGATAAGAAATGAATGTCATTAATTTACCACTGCAGAGACCAGAAGCAACATACAGAAATCAAAGTGCCTTGTTGATCAAGCTAGAGACGCAAGGACAGAATAGGCTGTGCTTTCACATTTGCAAATTATATTAGTTGAAGCTATTGAAAGGCAGGCATTGCAGCATCTTTGAAGCAGAAATGGATTCATCTTCTCTAATACCGTGGCAACCAGAACACTTACCATCAACTCTAATTCTTTTTCATTATGTTCATCATGTTCCCTGTTTACATCTTTTACATTTCGATTACTGGCTTCCAAATCTTCCTTGTCCTCATGAGAACAAATGATTGTTGGGATATAGGTATCTGAAAAGTTAATATAATTGTGCCTATGTAAGATTGTTTTAATTGTAGACTTTCACAAAAGAGACAAATTTGGTTTTAAAATTAATGAAGAATATTACCTGTATTCTTTGGATTCTCAAAGTTATTTTCTTCTGATGTTACTGATGATTCTTCTTTACTGTTAAATTTAAAAGAAAATGTTATATGTTTTTCTGGGACTGCATCTTCTAAGTATTTTTACACAGGGGGAAATTCAATCAGTAACAAGCCAAATAAACATTATATAGCCTTTCTTATTTTCCTATATTACTTGGGATGTTTTGAAATAAAAATGATCTTTTTGGAATGATGCAATAGTAAGTATTGGTTGTAGAAAAATTTAAAAGTAATTCAAACAATGCCATATTTCTAAACAGAAACACACTCTATTTCTTAATATTTAAGAAAATATATTAAAACTTATATAACCAAAGTAAAAACATATGTAAATGTAGATTATTCTATCTTCAATGAATTTCATCTTTTCAAGTGAGAATGTTTTTCTCATGGCTTAATGATAAAATTTTATGAACTGACAGTCTATTTATGGTCATGGAAATTGCTAACATTTCAATTAATTTTTTGTGTTCCATTTTACTCAAAATTCTTCCAGTTGGACTAACATTAACTCTCTCTCCAGAAAAGCAAAAAAACACAAAAAGTAAAAGTAAGAAAGAAACAAGCTAACTAAAAAACTGAAAGGCAGCTAAATTTATACTCAGTTAAAAGACTTTATATATGTATTGCCACAGGCCAATTTTAAAAGCAAGACTTTGGATCATTTATATGCAAGCATATACTTTCCTTCTTTAAAATGATTTGGGTTACATTTCCTTTTCTAGCATACCCTGCATACTGATTGTAAAAGACAAATACCTTTTTCCTTCAAATGTAATCTATTTGTAGTTGTATTTGTGAAGTCATTAGAATTTAGATTTGTCCATGAAACTCAGGAGGAAAAATGTTGGTAAAAAAAGCTCACTTTGTGTATAGTTATGTCACAAGTCAATTATAAGAAATATTTGGCGCAGTATACACATTTTCTTATACTCTCTCAACTGAATTTCCTTATGGTGCCTATTCTCAAGGACTTTTCTGCAACAAAAGAAATCTGGAAAGTTGGCAATGGCTGATAAATTTGTGTAACAAGAGTCTAGACTTCATTGCATGAGCAATTCTGATCCAAATCCCAGGAAGGCCAATTTTATATTCACAAATCATGAGAAATTGAAAATTCTTCCATCCTGACCATGCAAGAAGATAATTCAGTTTTATATATTTTTATGATTCATAATTTTAACTTTACTAAAAACATTTGGTATTTTTAGTGGGCCCACATATAGAAAATAATGCTTCTATATAAATATAATTTTATTAGAAAAATATACTGCTTGCATAATTGATACTGAATTTATGAATCCATATTGCTTAATGAGGTCAAAAATTATGCCAAGGTTTATTTTTACGAAATCCAACTGCAGGCTGACACACCTTCCCTTCTCCATGTACATGTTTATGTGCTTAAAAATATATAAACCATTAAACAGCATTTATTTATTCCTGCTTCGTCTCTATTCCCATACAATACTGAAAGTATTATTTGTAGAAGAAAAATAGTCAAAGATTTTTGTTCTTATCTAATCAAAATGCTACCAATCACTTCTCTAATTCAATTCTCTAATATAATTTAATTCTTAAAAAATGATCGAGTCAAAAGGACAGGAGCCTGCTTTAACTTATTTGGGGATAAAATAAGTATTCAACTATGTATTCTTATGTTAGTGTCTTAAAATGTAAATATAGAAATATAGGAGAAAAACTTCAAATTCAGGGACAAGTACAAATAAAAGTAGAAATAAATGAAATTTAAATATATGAAATATCTATAAACAAAAACAGAAAATACGTAAGATTTCTATGGGCAAAGTAATAAAATTATATCAAAGAATGTCAACAATCCTAAAAAGGTTGATAAACATACCATGTTCATAGATAGAAAATATTATGAAGATGTCAATTCTCTCACAAATTGATCTACAAATTCAATACTAATCAAAACACCAAAACATTTTTTATAGAATTTGAAAATATTATTCCAAACAGAAAAATAAAGGGCAAATGATGGCTAAAATGTTTCTGAGAAATAGCAGGGAGGAGGAACTTTTTTTATCAGATTAAGTATTTTTAATGAAGATTTATTTATTAAGATAGTGTTATATTGGTACAGAGTCAGGCAAACTAATAAGACAAGATTGAGAGCTTAGAACTTTGGTATATGACAAATGGTATATCCAGAACATTGGTATATGACTAACATAGCATGTCAGACAATAGGAAATATGGTACTTTTCAGTAAGTTGAGAGAGAGAAAATGGCTACCAATTGGATTTAGATCTTAAATGTCAAAAACCTTGAAATTCTTAGTAGAAAATATATGTGAATATCTTCTGGGCCTAAGAGTAGGAAATATTTTCTTAAGAAAAAAGAAAAAAAAGATTTAAAAAATTGGTCAGTTTAACTGTAGTAAAATTTAAAATGTTTATTAAGAGACTATGCAGTAAAAATAGAAGTTACAAAGTGGGAGAAGATGCTTTCATTACACAAAATCAACACAAATAAGCATCAAGAATACATAATGAACTCCTACAAATCAACAAGAAAGTACAAACAATTCATTGTGTGTAGGGGGGCAAGGGTGCAGACATTTCAGAGAAGAGAAAACACATAGCCAATAAGCACATAATGGGACGGTCAGCATTATTAGAGAATAAATGAAATCAAGACCACAAAGAGCTATAATTTTATACTCATTTAATTGATAAAAAATTAAAAGTCTGTTAATACCAAGACCTGAAGATGGTTGAAGCTGCAGGCTTTTTTAAATTTTTTTGGACACAACGTTTTGCTCTGACATCCAGGCTAGAGTCCAGTGCGCAATCTTAGCTCATTGCAACTTCCACCTCCCAGGTTCCTGTGCCTCAGCCTCTCAAGTAGCTGAGATTACAGGCACAGACATGTGACACGACATCCTGCTAATTTGTACTTTAGTAGAGACAAGGTTTCACCATGTTGCCAGGCTAGCCTTGAACTACTAAGCTCAGGCAATCCACCCACCTCAGCCTCCCAAAGTGCTAGGATTACAGGCATGAGCCACCGCACCTGGCCCCCAGGCTTTCTTGTACATTGCTGGTGGGAGAATAAATAGGTAAAAACACTTTGAAAAACAATTTGACCGACATTATCTTCAAAATTCAACATTTATATAAATGATGACCACTACTTCCATTCCCAGGTGTATACCCAAGAGAAACTCTTGCATATATTACCTGAGATATCTAAAAGAATGTTCATGGTGTCATTGTTAACTGGAATGTCCATAGTGTCATTGTTAGCTATATAAGTCTTGAATCAACCCAAATCAACAGAAGAATAGATACAAAACTATTAATATCACAAAAAGGAATATTATACAACAATCAAAATTAACACACCACAGAAACACACAATATGGATAAATCTTAGCAATATAATATTAAATGAACCGTTCCAAAGTATAACAGAGGACATTCTTTTTATTAAGCTAAAAACTACCTATATATGTAAATATACATATACCTATATATGTAAACGACCCTTGCCATATATATTATAAATTAAAGTTATATATAACTATATATAACTCTGTAATTTATATTATATAAATATGTTAAATATTATATATAGGTATATATAGCTATAACTGTATAATTTATATATAACTATGTATATAGCAAGGGACAAGTAATTTTATTTACATATATAGGTAGTTTTTAGCTTAATAAAAAGAATGTCCTCTGTTATACTTTGGAACGGTTCATTTAATATTATACTGCTAAGATTTATCCATTTGTTGTATGTCTCTGTGGTTTGTTATATATTACAAATTACATATATATAGCAAGGGATAATTTAATAATAAATAGTTACACTAAAAATAACTTGATTTTCAAGATATTATGGTTATATCAGGCGGTGATATGGTTTGGCTGTGTCCCCACCCAAATCTCATCTTGAACTGTAACTCCCACAATTCCCACAGTGTCATGGGAAGAACCCAGAGGGAGGTGATTGTATTATGGGGGTGGGTCTTTTCTGCACCATTCTCATGATAGTAAATGAGTCTCATGAGATCTGATGTTTTTAAAAACAGAAGTTTCCCTGCACAAGCTCTCTCTTTGCCTGCTGCCACCCATGTAAGATGTGACTTGCTCCTCCTTGCCTTCTGCCATGATTGTGAGGCCTCACCAGCCATGTGGAACTGTGAGTCCATTAAACCTCTTTCTTTTGTAAATTGCCCAGTCTTGGGTATGTCTTTATCAGCAAAATGAAAATAGACTAATACAGGTGGGTCAAATTAGGGAGAAGGAATCAGGAAATGAAATGAGTAGAATTCAGTCACTGTTTTGGGTGGTTGTTTTGCAGGTGCTTATTAATAATTTGAAATATATAAATAGTTCAATTCTAGTTTCAAATAATTTATGAAGATAGAGTACTCTCTGGCCCACATTAGAGGCCACTCTGAAATTCAAAGTACTAGTCATATGACCAATTAGATCTAAAGAGTTGAATTTAAGAGCTTTAGAACATTTGAGAAAAAAGACAAATTGATGGTTGATGATGATAGGGCCCAGAACTATGACAATTGTGACATGAAGAAAGTATACTTTTGAATATCTCTCATTTCACCTTTATGTTCCTCGAGTACTTTTTGATAAAGGAGAGTTTCATATTTTTCTGTGGCTAACACAGTGCCTGACATATAATAGTGGCATAAGAAATGCTGTTGAGTGAATAAATGCACAGCATCGTCTCCACCCTCCCTTCTCCTCTCTACCTTTTGCCAACATTACTATGACAGTGTTCTTCTCTTATTTCTTCATCTAATTTCAGAAAATAATCTAATATTTTAAAATATGTATATTTTTGTTTATCTTCTAAGACTTAAAGTATTACCCCTTCAGAGTTCAGGACAATGTTTTCAATTATGGAGTCAATAATGAGTCAAGATTTAAGCATAATTTTAAAATCATTATAATTTTAGAAATTAAAAAGTAAAAAAGAAATTAATTAATGGAACAATACTTTGTTTCCAGTGTACCTTAAATTATATAATATAGTCATCTATATTATTTAATCATGGTTTTTCTAATAGATATTTTAAAATATCTGTGTGTCATGAATTATAACAAACACTGAGAAACTGAAAATAAATATGCCCTAGTTTCTTATTTCAATGAAGCTATAATGTGAAGATGGAAATAGACATATCAATAGGTAATTATAATTACTATAAGTGATAAGTATTATAATAAACAATGGGATATGATAGATATTCTCTTAGAAATAAGAAGAAAGGACAGAAGTTATCAGGAGACTGTTGGAGAAATCAGGAAGTTTATCTCAAAGTTACTAACATTCTGATTTAGGTTTTAGGGATAACTAGAAGTTTCCCAATTAGAAAAGAATACAGCCATTGTAGGCAGAGGGAACAACAGGTCGCCAAAGACAAGACTAAAAAAGCACAAAATGGCCAGGTGTGGTGGCTCACGCCTATAATCCCAGCACTTTGGGAGGCCGAGGAGGGTGGATCATGAGGTCAGGAGTTTTGAGACCAGCCTGGCCAACATAATGAAACCCCATCTCTACTGAAAATACAAAAAATTAGCCGGGCATGGTGGCAGGCACCTGTAATCCCAGCTACTCAGGAGGCTGAGGCAGAATAGCTTGAGCCTGGGAGGAGGAGGTTGCAGTGAGCAGAGATTGTGCCATTGCACTGCAGTCTGGGCGGCGGAGCAAGACTCTGTCTCAAGGAAAAAAAAAAAAGCACAAAAGAAAAAGTCACATCTAGAAACAACAAAATGTTCAGAGGGCTGGACTCTGTTTGGGGAAAGAATGCCAAGGGGTAGAATGAGAATTAGTTCAAGCCAGATTGTAAAGGGCTTAGCATAGCTGGCAAAATGAGGTTGAATTATTTAGGTACTTTTTAACCAGTGGCATGGGGTTTAGGGCTAAACAGGAGAGAGACGTGGTCAGATTTACATTTACCAACGTATTTCTGGAGGTAATGTAGAGGAGAAACTGGACGGGATGAGCCACAGTGGAGCAGAAAGACTAATCAGAGGCTCCTGAAACATTTCAGGCACAAAATGATAAGGGCAAAGGGTACTATTAATGAAGAAAGAGAAAAAGAACCAAATATGAGTTTTAATTTTTGTTGTAGCATCAATATGCTGTACATAGATTTTTTAATGCCCTTCTCTACCCAACCTCAGCCGCATTCATCAGAATTAGAAATCTACATTGTTGCCCCTTCCAAGACCTAGGCAAAGACAGTTAACTGAGGGATCCTGCACTACAAGTCAGCAAGGTCTTGAATTAGTCTGCAGATTGGTTTTGATGTTTTATGTGCTGGGTGACTTGCTTCCCAGGAGTTTATGTGGACACCTTTTTCAGGGTTCCTCCCTAACCTCTGGCACACATGTCTAGATGGTGAACCAGCAAGTTATTTCTAGGTTTCTGATTCCAGTCGTTCACTGAGGAAAATAAAATGTTTTCTCATTCACACTAGTCACCTGGGTCCATAACATTCTAAGGAGTTCTTACCAACCTTTAGAAGGCCCCCTGGGGCATTCTACCAGATGAATTTCTAAGGAACTAGAAATCAAGTTCACAAAGGAACTTTAAACATCTCAGCTGTTTAGAAGCCCTGTTACGTTGTCTCTCCCCTCTCTCATAAATACAGTAGATCTCAAATATAACAATAGTTCCCAGAATTGCCTTTCATGTCAAAAACTTCAGGCCCTACCTCTATAAAATCTAAATTAATATAGACCTGTATATGGAGGTGAAGATGGGGAATAGAGAATGATGGTGCTAAAAATTTCCTAAAATGATTTTGATGAGAGGCCAGATTTGCAAACTCCTAGTATGGACAACAATGCATCTCACTGCCCCACTGGATTTAGCTGCTCCTCCTTAGATGATAGACAGGTGGGAGAGTCATTCCTTTAGTTGCAATTCCTGGCCCCAAACCCAGTTGCCCTGCTTCTTACTAGTTTCATATGAGTTTAAAGCATGCTTTGCTACTATTTACATAACTCTTAAGATATCAAGAAATAAAGAATTATGCAGAGGTTTCTAATTTGGAGATCTAAAAGGATGGAACCACCATTACTTGACATGGAGACTTAAAAGGAAAAGCATGGGTGAAAGAAAGAGGATAAGCTTTATTGAAGGAAACATGTTAAACTTGTAAACTCTTTAACCAAATGGGAAGTGAAAACTAGTGTTTGTTGAATGGAAAATGCCCAGATTGACATTTTTTCCTTTTTCCCTTACAATATCATTGCACAAAGGCTTGCACTATCTTTATAAGTTGCGGTAAATTTTCCCTCACTTCAAAGAAATGAGACATAATATTGAAATTTTATGTGACGACTTCTAGTAGACATTAAATAAATATGCCCTGAACATAAGAAATGAATGTTTTCCAGGCAATAGTTACACTTGTAAAATGTAGTAGCAATTTTAAATTTATAGCAATCTGTATTTATTCATTCAATGCATCATCATTTAACAAATATTTAGTGAGTACCCACCAATTGTGAAATGTTGTGCTGGATTACCAAAAAAGCAAGACGGAGTCCCTGCTCTCACAAGCTAATGGGGAGAGTGGACAAGTACATAAAGCAACAGCGCCAGGGTATGATAACTGTGTGCTCCCTGAGGAACAGAGTGGGGTAGGAATACCTTCTAGAAGGACATGGCCTGTAAGCTGAAACCTAAATAAGAAGCCTTAGCTAGAGAAAAGGAGAGAAGCAATTCCAAGCTTAAGGCATTATATGCAAAAACTTTATCAGTAAAAAAAAAAAGAATTATTCTCAACATGTCAAGTAATCCAAGATACAATTTAGTAAAAATGAAAGACTAAAAGCCCAGGGCACCAGCCAATTGGTAGTCAACTAGCTTAAGAGGCACAAATTCAAACCCAAACAGTGCCTCTCAAAATGTGGTTCACAGACCTCCTATGTGAAAATGACCTGGTACAAATGCTATTCAGGGGCCAGAAATCGGATCTACTGCATCAGCATCTCTGAGTGGGCAGTGGGAATCTGCATTTTTAACTGGAACCTCAGAGTTAGCTGAAGTGCACTAAAATTGGATCTACTGAATCAGCATCTCTGAGTGGGCAGTGGGAATCTGCATTTTTAACTGGAACCTCAGAGTTAGCTGAGGTGCACTAGTGCTTGTCTAACTACATATATTAAAAAAGAATATCTGCAGACAGACACTCAGACTCCAGGAATGTGGTACACGAAGTGCCTCTTTACATCTCAAACTTTTCCAGCAAGTTACACACAATTATGCCATAGCTCTACGCACAAAAGAATAAATGTTTGTGTATCTCATATGCACCCAGGAAAGAAGAAACACATTGTAGAATAGACCAATCATCATCTGTGACTTACAGAATAAAATAATGAAACATCAATGGGGTAGAAATTGAAGGACATTTTCAACCTATCTAATAAAATAAGTAAGCAAAAATAATTTGTGTTTCTAAGTCAGCTATTAATCATTCAAAAATGTGAGTTCTACAGACTCTTTACCTCTGAGCCCCATGCAACTTACAGAAAGATTTATTTTACTTTTTATGCCAAATTCCTCTCAGATTTGTAAGAGACCTCATACTTGGATTGTCTCATCCCATCATTTTATAGAGAAAAGAAAACTAAAGCCCAGTTAAACAATATGGCAGAAGTCATACCAACCAACTAGTGGCAAATCCATAACTAGCTCCAAGTTTCTTAGTCATTATGTTAGTGTTCTTTCCATAAAGGGTCAATATGTGGTGGAAAAAAAGCAAAAAAAAAAAAAAAAAAAAAAAAAAAAAACCCTGCATGCAAATCTCAGTATTTCCGGTTACTTAACACTTACTAACTCAATTACTCACCATTTGACTTTAGTCAAGATACTTAATCAACCTCTCTGCGCCTCATTTTTCTCTAAAATCTTGCCTACTCCTAACACAGAGTAATTATTTAGCATAGTTTCCAACACATGAAAGTGTTTAATAAATTATTATTGTTATTAGGAAATGTAGTAAATGGCACACTGATCATTAATTCTACATTATCACAAAAACCAATTTGTATGCTGCTTCTTTTACTCTGAGTTATCTATATTTTTAATGTTTACCATATTCTCTCATATCTTTAATATTCAAGGTACTTCTAAGAGTAAAATTTGCAGTCCATGATAGCATACTTGCTCAGCCATGTAAATATACCCTTATTATCAGAAGAGCACCCTTCAAAGAAAAATCATTAGATCTTCAGTGACAGTAACCTTTTATTTAAAAGTATCCTCTCTAAATACAACGTACACTGGCATGATAATTTGCACCTTCTTTCATTACCCAATTGATTTATTCAGTGCCAGGATTTAGACACCATGTTAATATTACTGCAGTTTCTGGATATGTTGCACTTTTGCTTTTGGAATTATAATTAATTTTAACACTGTCAAAATGTAGTCATTTTTAGTATAATAATATGGTTTTTCCAAAGGTCCTATAATGCCATTGTGCTAAAACCCCATATGTCTCTTAAAAAACGAGCAAAACCTCTTAAAGATCTATGCCACAAAGTCTAAGTCTGATGTGATGGAATTACCCAACCAGTTAAGGTGAATGGCAGGATTAGGTTGTAAGCAGCAAAGTCTAACTCTGCTCTAAGAGGAATGAAAATGTTGGCATGAAAAGGGATCATTGCCAAAGTGAGTCATGAATATTGTATTTGTGTCTCCTTAACACTCAGCCTGAAAGTGCTCAGAATTTTCTAAACAGGACCAAACTTGGAATTCTTGGGCATCACCTCTCACTCTATGATAAACAGCTAAAAAGTAAATGTGAAATTACTCAAGTTCAGACCAGCCCTCTTTGTTCAAAGCTTGTGATCTCATTTCTTTTGCTCTCCTTCTCTCCACAAAAGAAAGGAAAATAAATGACCTTTAAAATCAGAAATATGAGCCTCCTTTGAGATTTTTTAAAAAGTCACTCAAGAGTAGTATGTCATTGGCACTAAGTGGACACATACAGAAATGTCGAACAGGTTTTCCAAGGGTAAATAATTATATAGTGTATTGTGGACTGTTTCTTTTCATAATGTTATGTTGCAGCTTCTCTAAAAATTGACTTTCTAGAATTCTGCCATTTCATAGCCACTCATATATTGAAGAAAGGAAGAAAGTAAAGACTTATACTTAACAATAGGCAAAATTCATAATACATTAGCCAACTACTACAGCTTAATATATTTTCCTTTGGTGTTACAGTACTGGCTAGTCTTCTCTTGATCAGGAATAAAACCAAAAGTGGAAGAGGAACATTTGATTAAAAGAGGGATCAGTGTCTAATTGTGAAGAGAAGCGCCTGAGGAAAAACAAATTTAAGGAACTATGCAGAAGGAATTAAGGATGAAAAGATGCATTAGGTTCAGTTTCTTGATGATAATGCCAGAAATGAAAACGAAATGAATACAGTTTGGCATGATTAACAGGCATTGAAAGAAGCAAAAAATAATCTCAAGAGAAACAGTGAGAATTTAAAAAATGTCTTTATATTCTTCTATGCTGAATCTGGGGACTAATAACTGACA
The DNA here is from genome assembly GCF_000001405.40 of Homo sapiens. Classification (NCBI taxonomy): domain Eukaryota; kingdom Metazoa; phylum Chordata; class Mammalia; order Primates; family Hominidae; genus Homo; species Homo sapiens. Next base: position 113,892,879 of record NC_000007.14, read on the forward strand.
CAGTAAGGCACATCGTTTTGTTTTGGTTTTGACCGACACATTGTTTTTTTGTGGGCATCACATTTCTTATGTGTAAAGTGAAAGCTCTGGATTAGATTAGAAGGCCACAAATACAATACACTCATGCTGACCTTTCTCTCTAACACTCATGGCAAGCTCTGATAACAGATAAAGGGACTTCCTTGCTGCGGTCATATTGAGCCCCACTACCTTTCTTTTACACAGCCAGGCAGCCACTACCCATCAACCCCTTCATTGCTCAAAATGGAACCAATTTCACTTCTCAGCTTTAATATTAAATAACATGCCTTGCAGTTTAAGAGCTCTACATCTGTATAACTTAAAGGAGTATTCTGAGTATCATTTAGAGGTATTTAATTGAAAAAATTCTTAATATTTTTCAAAAACAAAAATGCTGGTAGAATCAATAGAAATAACTGCTTACCTAAAATTGCAATATAGCCAAGGATAAATTGTCAATTAAATCATAAGATCAGTATTATTAATTTAAATTTAATACCACAGAAATCTCACCTGCATAGCTTGTGAGCTAGTCTTATATTATTTCTACTACATGTAATGGAATGGTTTATTTCCATGATATTTTATTTATGGCAAAGAAAACCTTTTCAAAAGTAAAACATTACCAGTATCTATAATTGATTAAGAAAAATACATCGAATATACCTATTATATAAGCTAATTTATTAATTTTAAAATGTGACTATAAACCATGGAAAACCACAAGTCCATTGGGGAAACTGTACTAAACTGCTCAAGCATTCAAGTAACTTAGAACATACCAATATGTTTGTGACCAGATTGTTTCATTGAATTATCTTCATCTTTGCATAAAACTGAGTTGTTGCATTTCTAAAAATCTTCTCTATTTCAATATCTAAGTTAGAACATTGCCCAGTACCTCGGAGCTTGATCTTACTGAAAACAAGAGGTACTTTGCCTTATTGATCCAGGAAATTTCAACAGCAGACAGAAAAGCAACTGAAAAACAATCTTATTGGAGAATTCTTTGCTAAATCTCTCTTCAAAAGTTTCTTCATTTTTTTAACTCTTCAGTTCCTACCAAGGATAACAGGTCGAAATTTGCTTTGTTGTGACAAAGTGGTAGGTGGTGGTGTTTTTTTCTAGCTCACCCCAAAGGAAATAGGGAGAAAAGACATTTTAGACTTAATTCTCTGATTGGATTGGGCACCATGTGCAATTCTGTAGAGCTGTGTACTCTCCAAAGAGGCACTCAATTGTCAGGATCTAATGCATAACTAAGTAGAATCTGGGAGGTCCAAGTGCGAACCAAAAAACATTTAGGTTGCTTTGGAATGAGATATAATTACAAGCAGCATTCATAAATTGTAAGCTGAAGAAGACTTACAGATAAAGCTGGCCCAAAGAACTCCATTACAACCTGCCAATCATATTCAATCGAGAGAAAAATACAAATGTTTTTCAGCTATGGATACTGGAACAACTGAATATACTTCAGAGAGATACCATTAACAAAAAACTCAAAGTTATTGGCCTAAAGTCCTTATTTTACCTGCGTTCTTAAACAATAGTCACCCTTGGAACAGGTGGGTAGCAAGAAAGTAGTGATTGTCCAGCTGAGAGTCTTGCCACCTCAGAAGTCTTATCTCCACAATTCTGTCTCCACAATTTCCTCACAACGTAAGTGCTGACAGCTTTATACTACCTACAGCCTTCAAAAATAATCAGTGTATTGTCATGTGTGTTTTTTTTCCTAGGGATACTAAATTTCAGGCATTATTTTCTTTATAAAGATGCTAATTTTTTGTGATTGTATAAAAAATCATTATTAGAGTCATGACCACTGAGTTAACTAATTCCATTTCAACAAAACCTGTTTCCTCCACGGAATCTACAGCAAACTTCACCTAAGTCACCTGATTTGTTAAATATTGAGCTCTAACCTCCAAACTCTATAGTATTTGAATTAACATATTATTTTGAAAACTGTTGTTAAGAAAAGGTGATCTTAAATGTAAACCAATATTCTCAGTATATGTTTGGAAGAGTTTGGAGAAGGAATGAATACAGGAGGACATGAGACTTCCGAACTTTGAAATCAAATCATTCAGAAGTGACAGCCCTCAGGAGAGGAATATCTTACCCAATAGGGTGGCAGGTGTGAGCTCACAGCATCAAACTGCAGCCACTCACCTGAGCATGTGTGGCCTCTAATGTTCCCCAAGATGGGATGTTTTCATGTGGTTTATTTTTTAAAGAGAACAAAGTACCAAACTTCAACTTTTTTTCCCAGCTTCTATCTCATTCCTGGCTCTTGACAAAGAATTTCAAATGTGTGTCAATAGCCCTCCCATTATCTGGAGAGTAAATCATGTGAAATGATGCATAACTCAATAAAAATACTGGAAAAGCAATGCTTCAATATGTTTTATGGTAAATCATAGATTTTACATTTGTTAAAAAAAACACCAGATATCTTAAATAATTTGGACTAATAAAATTAAAGCATGCCAAAGCAAGTTAGAATGTTAAAAGTAGCCACAACAATGAAGTGAATATCTTATTTAAATATTAACTTTAGAAGCTATGAAGTCATTTTTTAGATCCTGGGCACATTTCTGGATTGCTATGCAATCAAATATATGTCTAGTATTTACTCTATGTTTTTGTTTGTATTATCAGTTACTGCTTTATAGTTTTTATAAGTGGTTAGATGCCTCTATGATATGAAATCTGTTGGAATTTATATCTATTTTCAAGCAATTCCATTTTACAAACATATTTTCAAATTATTCTACTTATGCTAATCATGCCATAAATTAATGTATCAGGGAAAACAGAAATACAGTAAATTGGGTTAGTTTGCATTAAAATCCAAACAAGAACCCTATTATTAAACTGGATTTGTATTTAACAGCATTTGAAAAGTTTTCTACGCAGATTCAGTAAGTCTTAAAGCATTATTTCTAAATTTAATGCTTTGATGAACTTACGTCACACATTAAAATCATCTTAATGCACCTTTTTGTCAATTCTTCACAATAGTATTACAAAAGGAAGAGAAGAGAGGATATATTTATAAAGCAAATGAAAAAGAACTCAATGGAAGCCTATTAGGCTACCTGTTGATGAGCGTATAAGAGAGTCATTAATATGCGGATCATTGACATGATAGGCCATAATGACGCCTCCAGGGACTATCAGTCTATTGTGTCAGAGACTAGTTGGGGATTCATTACGTGCAGACGCGTGACTTCTTAATATGCAAATTATGAACGCAAAGCACTGAGGCATACCTCACAAATGTCCACATTTTGTGTTACACATTTTCTTTGTCAACCCCTCACCCACACCTTTTGTGAACTATTTTGTTTCTTCCATCCTCTGTCACAGATTTCTTCATAAAAGAGCCTATACTGTTATGGAATCTACCGCTTCACATTCAGAGAACTCCTCCTCTTCAGCTCATGGGTTTTATTTATTTATTTATTTATTTTGGTTTTGGGCTTCTGTTGTTTTTTACTTAAAGCTAGTTTATACATACAAACCACTTGCTTGCACCGTTTTGACTAAACCAGTCGAAGTTCAGTACAAAATCTGCTTTTATATTTTTCTCCAATGTGAAATTGGTTTTTGGCTAATGACATATAAAGTGAAGAAAGCACTTGTTTTTAAAAATGAAACATGAGTAGCATAATTAGCAGTTGAATAATTTGGACTGAAGGTGGGTGGGGAAAACATAGTGGAATGGAATACCGAAAAAGAGAGCAGAGAAAGGCCCAAGAGAGGACACCAGATAAAAGAATGCAATTAAATCAAGTAAGAGTATTTGATACCAATGTAACACAATAAATGAGGAAACAGATGTAAGCCACTCAATGTCTGGCATACAGCAAGCAAGCAGGAAGCATCAACTATTATTATTATATTGGCATTTTGCATTTATGCAAAAAAAATGAATAGACACATTCCCTTTTGAAAAAATATGAAAAAAACATATGGAGTAAAAGTTGTTCAGTCTTTGAACTAACCGTCTATGAAGAAGGGAATCAAACTTACATTCCTGCAACAGAATTAGCTACAGAATCCATGGAAAGGTATTCAAGTATTTTTTGAAGCCTATTCACATGCCATGTTATGGAAAATATGTTATGGTATAACTTTTCATATGAGACTTTAAATGTTGCTTGTATTCACTTTCTTGACACTTTATTATTCTAGTGTGATCTAAAGTACAACACAATCTTTCATTACTATTTCTCTCTTAAATTTCAGGAGATACAGACGCTTAGTTCTTTACTTGTAAACTCCATATATCCTAAGCACTGCAGTGGGTCTACAGAAGTCTATATTTATTGAGTATGAAATAATTATATCTCCATATAAATTAATTTGTATAATTTTTAAGTTAGCTTTAAGGTCCTCACTATCTTGAGGAGATCCTACATAGATTTTATTTGATTAAAACTCTTTAAATATGAGGTAATATGTTTTAGAATAAATTATGCTTACTAACATGATTATCACAAGCAGCTAATTACACTTCTTATTCTGGCTAATGTTAATTTCAATATTAAATGCCAGAAAACATCAAATAGTTACTGGAGTTCGAAGCTGCAGTGAGCTATGATTGCACCACTGCAATCTAGCCTGAACAGCAGAATGAGGCCCTGTCTCTTAAAGGAAAAAAAAAAAAAAAGTTATGCAAATTATGTAGGAAGCTTAGAAGTTTACAGTAGAGACACCATCTTATATTCGCTGGAGCCACCCACTGGAGGGGATGAAAGAGGTCAGGATGAGCTTATAAGTGCCAAGACAACTTGCCCCATTGAAGGCTTTTGGGTCCCTGATTAAATGAGTAGAATTTATTACCAGAAAATCCTAAGATGAAGTGAGAAGCATTCACTAAGATGACTACTGTTGAAGATTAGTATAAGAGCAATATGGTGTTCTGGAAAGGTCAAGTTGAGAACCTGATAAAAGGGGAAAGGCAAACAGCAGGTCACTGAGGAAATGGACCACACACTGGGATTGCTAAAGGAGTGAAGTGCAAGAGCCAAACTCTGCTGAGATGCAGTTATGTTGATAAGGATAGGGATCTCTGTCACACTTTTAACAAAGCAGCACAGGACATTATAGTCAATACTTGGAAGGACACTGCTACCCAGTGGGTTTAAAGGACTCAATCCGTCTATTGGATATGATACCAATTCAGAGTAATGTTGGATAAAATTCAGCATGTGTTCATTCAAAAAATATTTAACTTATACTGGGCTAGAAGCTAAACCACTAGCTCAGGCTGACATGGAACAAATTCTGCCTTCATAAAGTTTACAGTCTAATGAAGGTTAACACAAAACAGACTTTAAAATCACAGCTGTAAGCTTAATGATTGGGGTAGCATGGAGTTCTATAGAAGAAAATAATAAGAGAACTAAGTCAAACTCAGAGAACAGAGGTGGCCAGGGAAGGCCTCCTGGCAGAGGGAGCATTTTGTTTGAGTCCTGAGGGCTTAGTATGACTATTGAGATGAAGAAGACAGAGCAGAATATTCCAGGCAGATGGAATATCAAGGGGCATGGTAGTGAGAGAGATATAAGTGTCCAACAAAAACAACTAAAAGATGAGTACAATTAGATCTTAGTGACAAAGATAATGATAACAATTTTCTCTTTGACCAAACTCTAGCCAGGCTCTTTAGGCCCATGTTATTGACTAGGCCTCAACCCTGGCCTACACAAACTACAGCCTCTCAACACAAATAGTTTTGTCCTCCTCCTTTCCCCACAATAAAAGACTTAAGCAAATACTAACATCTTTTCTAAAGCTCAAGGCCATATTTCTAGGATGACCCTAGCCATACTTAAAGTGCCTGCTTCAGAAAGCTCAAGGCTGCCAAAAGAATTTATTGTTCGTTCCAGCCAACACCTGAAGATAAGGCCCTGGCCACCATTTCTTAGAGCTTTTACTAAAAAGGGCTTATAAGTGTAAATCCTTTCTCTGTGTGTTAAGATGTATATGTATGTCCTACAATTCAGTATTGTCTTTTTCCAGGGCCTGAAAGCCATTTCATTAAAATGTAATCATCAGGAAGGATAGGGTCTCTATTTCCCAGTCTATGGAAGGATAGAATCCTAACTAGAATTTCAAGCTAACAGACTGACTGGCCTAATCAGCATTTATAAAGACCAGTACTTTGCAATTTTTTGGTTTCCTGACTCTACTAAGAGTCAGTAACTCACCTGGATCCTATTTGCCCCTTCTCTACTTAAAAATTCTCCCTTAAAAATGCCCAGTCACCTCTGTACCAATTCAAGCTGAGTTCAGTTCATGATGTACCCCACTTACTTATTGCAGTAGTGTATTATTGATTAAAATCTGTGCTCACCACTTCATCCAATGTCTTTAAAAAGAAAAATGAATACTTTCTAAAAGTTTACTTCATTCTAAATGAAAATGCCACGCTGTGTGATGTACCTTTTTTCCCAAAGAAATGTTTCCTTTTGTCCCAAGTCATCACTGAGGGAGCAAAGTATCTTTAATAAATATATAAAGCTTATCCTTTGTATCTGAATGTCCCACATCCTTAATATTGTTATTAATGCTTAAAAATACTTCATGCCACATTTTCCAAAGTGTTATTTGGATTTACTAATTTTTGTTTAAATAGCATTATTCTTTTTGTGGATAGTGTGACTAGTTACAAGATTTTCATTATTTTTTAAATTATAACTCAAAACACCAGTATTTATGTCCTTTGTTTACATCAGTCATTCTCAACCTTTGTGCACATTGGAGTAGTCTGGAGACCTTTTAAAAATACCAAGCCTGCAACCACCCCAGACCAATTAACTTACAGTCTTTGTAGTTGGATCTGGGTGTGGGTGCCTTATTTTTCCGTTTGCTATGTGCAGCCAATTTTGAGACGCACTGGTTTACACTGCTATTCTACATTGGCTTTTACTATATGAAGTTATGGTTAATGTGAAATTAAGACCTTTAGTAAAAATACTCTGCTATTAAGGTTTTCTAGATGAGTGAGGACGAGAGGGGCATGCATAATCAAACATGCTAGCATTAATGTAAATTGTATATGGATTGCTCTTCTGCTACTAAGTCTATAAAACAATTAATTTTCACTCATGAGGATTACCTCTCCATACTTCAATGAATTTAAATTTACTTTTTTTTTTAACTTAAAGGAAGCCTAGATGTTGTTTTAGGTAGGAAACATTAATTATTTCTATGTTAACAACTTCTGCTTATTACAAAATTGATCATGTTTACGAAGATTTAGACTTGGGCTAGCAAAATGTTTTCCAGTTGTTGCACTATGTAGTGAATAGCCCAATTACTATAAATGAAAGTACCATAAAGTGTATCTCATAAAATAAACAATCAGAGTCGAGAGGTGAAAATAATAAAGTTACAGTTATTGAAGAAGGTAGAACTGCAATATAATTGTTTAAATGCAAGTTCATGGATAATGCTGATAGTTTAATGTGTTAGGAGTTTATTATGTGTAAGAGAATATTTCATATAAAAATACCATAACCATATATATTCTGGTCTTTTCTTTCTTCCTAATATGGTATATAAGTGAAGGCACTTGCAAGATTACACTTGCAGTCTTTCAGAATCATCAATTTCCAATGGTTTGCTTGATTTATACATATATCATTATATATGTCAATATACATAAAATATTGATATATATCATACATATATAGTATGTATATATTATTGTATATATGACATATCAAAAATGTATATTTACATATTATATATAGCACTTTATATGTGTATATATAGTGATTTATATATATACAGTGCTATACATGATATATATAAGTATATACTTGTATATACACTTACATAAGTATATACTTACATAGTATATACATATATAATTATATATGTATATATACTCCTAATTTTATAAAAAATATTTCTTATAAGTACTAATTTACATAAACTTATCCAACTTGCACAGTACTAGAAATTAATAATTCAAGTTAAGACATTTTGAAACAAAAAATGATAGCTACAATGATTAAGTTTTTTTTTAAATAATGCTGATGTAGAATTTCTTCTTTGATTAGATTTACTGTAACACAATTCTACTTTCACTCAGAATTAGCAACTGGGTACTTCAGTGGGAAAAGACGGACCTGAAACATAGAATTTGAAGATCTGGACAGCAAGAAGGCAGCTAGAGTAAAGGTGAAAGGGATCCCCAAAGAATTCAAAGACAAGCCACCAACTGCATGTGTTCATCCACACTTTTCCTGCACTCTCCCTCACTGTGGGTAGTGACTTATTTCTGTGTGAAATAATCCAAAGAGGGTATAGGAGCCCCAAGGAGCGTTAAAACCCAATGAAAATAGACGGCGAAGGTCCATTACCTGAACATTTTCCAAACATAGACACCATCCCCCTTCTAAATTGGACTCTCCAACTCTATAGCTGGCCCACGACAGTGTACCTAATATATTGATGAGTAGAAAAAAGCAGGTTGTAGTCCAATACACAGGCATTGCATAATTTCACTTCTATTTAAAACATGGTGACAGTGTGTATATATATTTGCATCAACTTAGGTAAAAACCTGGAAGTTTATATTCCAAATTAATTTCTCCTCAATGAAATAAAATTGTGAATGGGTTAAAGTAGGAATGTCACAGAGAAAATTACGAAATAAAGAATGTGTTTTGCTTTTTTCATTTTCTTTAATATTCTTAACCCTCCTTGCCAACGATCTTCATGACAGAACTCTTTCTAACTAAGCAAACTGGTCCAGGGTTAGCTGCGAGTGGTAAGGGGTCGTGTGGCAGGACATAGTAGAAAGATCATATGCAGTGGTGTCAAAAGTATTATTTTCAAATCCCCTGAAAACCAACATACTCATTCTGTGACCTCAAAAAAGTATTGCAAATCTCTTTAATCCTCTTTCTGCATTGTCACAATGGAGATAATAACATCAGCCTGACCTACATCACAGGGTTGTCGAAAAAAGATCATAAACAAATGCCACCTTTTGCAAACTATGAACATCAAAACAGGGATTTTTAAGTTTATAACTGAAGTCATTTTGTATATACAATTTTAGTCATAACTTTTAGAAAACAAGAAGCATGTTGTGTAACTTGGCTCCTAATTTTAATGATCTTTGTTTTCTTCCTTATCTTTTTCTTGGTCTCTTAATGTTGGAATCTCTGAGAACTCAGTCCTGTTCCTCTTCTCTCTTTGTGTGTGTGTGTTTTTTAAGAGATGGAGTCTCACCTTGTCACCCAGGCTGGAGTGGAGGGGCACAATCATTCACTGCAGACTCCAACTCCTGAACTCAAGTGATACTCCAGCCTCAGCCTCCCAAGTATATGGGACTATAGGCACAAACCACAGTGCCTGGCCTGTTATCTTCTTTATGTATGATATATTCTTGGTGATAACTTCCAGTCTTACATTTTAATATACTGTTTATAGCCTGAAGACTCCTAAATTTGTACTAGCCCAGAACTCTCTCCCAAATGGCAGACTACATCTAATTGTACACTACATCTCCACTTGGATAAAGATTTACAATGCACTTTAATGCAATCCATGCAGTCAGAGTCAGCTTGCCTCTCTGCGAGCTCTCTGCATCTCCTGCTGTGTTCACCTTCACTCACTCTGCTTTAGCCACACTGGCCTTCTTGCTAGTCTGCAAACATTCCTGTTCACTCCCTTCTTAGAGAATTTGTACTGGTGGTTCCTTCAGCATAGAACAGAGTCATCGCTGACTCTTTTCAAGTCTCTGATCAATTGTTACCTTCTCGATGAAGTGCATTCTTTTGAGAAAGTGAAGGAAGAACACTCATTCTGCTTATGCTTCTCAATTGCATTTATCTGGTAACCTTAGTTGTTCTTTATACTTATAATTTATTATTAGTTTTCTCTCCATTAGGATGTAAGCTACGTAAGGATAAGCATTGTCTTTTTGCTAATGTATCCTCAGTGCTTAGAACAATATTGGCACATAGTATGTTTTCCATAATATTTATTGAATGACTGATGGTCCTTCATCATTCATTTCTTCCAGTCACTGATCTTTTTTTACTTCCCATCAATACCCAAGCTAAGAGCATAGTAAGAGTTTTGCTGCTGATATTTGTATATTTTTTTCTTTAATGTTAACCAAGATCCCTACCCTCTTAACCTGGAAGTCACTGGTATTACAGAAGAAACCATAGTAGAGTAGTTCCTATATATCCATCTAAGAGGATAAAGATTGAGGTGCCTGGATTAATCTTTTTCACTAGGTAAAAGTGTAAACTTTAGATTTTGAAGGAATGAATAATTTGGATTAAACTAATTACAATAAGAAAGTTCCCTTAAGCACCACCAGAGTAGTAAGATGAATCACCCGTGAAATAGGTATAGAAATAGCTAAAATCTGTGCAATATATATCTGCTTATTTATATAAAAAATGACCTATAGAAGAATTGAGTACTTAATATTGATAATGGGAAAAGGATGAAACCCATGTTTTAAACACAGCAACACGTATAGACAAGTAAATGAAAATGCTTATGAACACAGAAACAATTATTTAAACTATGAGGTCCCCAAAATATGCCCTGTAAGTATCATGGTGTTCATAAATTCCTTAAGCAGAAGGCAATGAAGGACCATTCGTATAACATCATCAATGCAAAACCTCTTAGCAGAAAAAGTTGGGAAATCATACTCAATACGATTACATTCAATTCTCCTCCTTACAGTTAGCAAACTGAATCTTACATTTTTTTCCATTCTAATGTGCCCTCCAAACTCTTTCTGGATTAATATAACCAAAAATACTTTGTTCTTGAGCATAGAGACTAAAGCACAAAATCTTCAGCCTAGCAAGACTGTACAACTCTTTTTCAATCTTGCTTTTCAAGATTGACTCCCACAATTCCTTTCATTTCAGACAGTGTGATTAATAACATCTTCAACTTACTTTCTGTGCATTCATCTCCATAAGTATATTTATACTGTATGTAAATGTTCTTCTGTTCCTTCTCCACATTCACAAATTTTACCATTTGCAGGTCAAATTCAATTCCTCTGTGGTGCTGTCTCTAATTGTGGTAGCCTGCAGTATAATCGTTTTTCTAATGCCTATTGCTCTTTATCTCCTATGAATTTGTCCGAGTATGTTTCACTCTATTTGGTAAATACCATGTCGATAGCTAACTTCTCATGTGTACAAATATTATCACTAAACCAAATCTTTGCTTAGAGATAGAAGTTACCTAAAAGAGTTCTATGTAAAATAGGGACTGTAAATTCTTTATGAATAATTAGTTTATCGAAGCACTATGCCTCAGAGCTATAGGGAGTTAAAGACCTTAAATCCCAAACCCAGCTTCGCCTGCTATACATTTCCTGGACTTGATCAAATAAATTTCCTTTGACAAATTTCTTCTTATGTGAAATGGGACTGGCTCTGCTTACTACAATGTAACTGTGAAGTAATGGGAGATAATGTTATACCACTTAAGAAGTCATAATAGATTTAAAAAATACATAAGTTTATGTAATAGCAAATTCTAAATTGATGAAGAACAAGCTAACTTATTCACATGGTAAAACACCATAAAACTCAAGTTGTCAATACACTACAGTTCATTATACATGAGATGAGATTCTTACCTGGTTTTGTAGCCAAGTTCTAACAAATGTTACAGACCCTCAAATACAAAATTAAAAGAATAAAAGGAAATTGGTCCAAAATCATCATAAGTGGTCAAAGAATTACCCAGAAATTGAGGAAATACAAAGAAAAAAAAATTGTCTTTTATAGCTATGTCAGCAAAATTATACAAAGGGTTTCAAAAATTTATTTCTTCAGGAGTCACTGTACAGAAAATTATATTCTATTGTACTAAAAACAGTATCCCTCCATATTTTCCAGTCAACAGCTAATTCGTTCTCAAAATTATGTTTAATTCAATCTCACAATGTTTTCACTGGGACCCATATTTGTATATTGAAGCTAATAGGAAAACAACAAAATGTATCAATAAAATTTTACCTTTTAGCTACTTTCACTGAAACAATTATTCTGAGAAAGTGGAAAATAAAATACTTACAAACACCATGTATTACCTATCTCCACAACACATTTTTACTTTGGGTGGAGACTTCAGCTTTTGTACAATGAAGTTCGCATGAGTATTAGGAAAAATTATAGTAGAATTCTTAATGAAAACTATGAGGATTAAGGGTAGTAATGTAAGAATTAATTGATGTATAATAGATGGAATATATTATTTTTGCTATATAAAATACATAGTTATTTAGACTTCACCCTAATTTCCTAAAATATGTTTCCAATTCTTGTCATAAAAATATTATAATTTTAAGAGTTATGAGTGTTATAATATGCCTGATAGTACTATTCCATTTGAGTTTGTCAATATTTTCACAAAATATTTAAGATGTTTTATATTCAGTGAAATCAGCAATCAGCTACAAACTAAAAATTCCCATTGCTTAAAGTTTACAAAAGTAAAAGCCCTTGCCTACAATAATCAATGCAAATAGACCCCTCTGTTACACAGTTTAAAACATTTATATACATGAATATGGGAATTGTTTCTATTCTTCCTGTAACTTTTCTATAAATCTAAAATTTTATCAAAAACCATTTTAAAATACCTTTTAAGTAGTACACAATAGAGTGTAGTAGACACATCACACTAAATTTTTGTAGGTCTTGAGTTGAAACATTTAGATGCATTGCATTACTCTCACTGGTTCTAGGTTTTTGTTTTGCTCTTTGTTTCATTTAGGGAAGGACCAAGACTCTGCAATCTCAAGATAGAAATGTCAGTGGAATACAACTAGTAGAGTGTCTAGGGATGCCAGCATCAGTGAGGACCACATAAGCGTCAGCACTAATATGAGCAGTGGCCCTGGCAAGAAGAAAAAGGTAAGTGAATCATTTCTGATCAGTGAACATAGAATTTCTACCTTTGGTCTTTTGTTATTCAGCCTATTGGATGTTTCTTGTTCTGGTCCCACTGGTCTGAATCATAAAGAAGGCCAAAGGCTGATCAATAAATATTTCTTTTGAGATGTTAGAATTACTTGAACTTATAGAAAAGTAAAATTATGATGGTGCAATTAATCATTTCTTTAGAAGTCATAGAAAAGAAGAAGGTGTTGAACAATTAGAGTATGCTGTAGCAGACTATATTATTTCTCAGTTCGATTTTTCATTGATATCTTTGTAACTGAAAGAAACCATCTAAATTTAGACTGTCTACAAGATGTTACAATGATTGTGTTCAATTATCTATTAATTTTTATTCAATTTAGACAACAAATATGCAGTTATTGCTGGGACAAATCCCCTTCTATCTGTTGTTTTTAACATATGTAAATATAGTCTTTGTATATCCTATTGCATTCTTAATTTTTAAAATAATTGTATTTTTGATCAAAGGAACAATCATCACCTCCACGGCCATATAATATAATATGGATGTAGAATAGGAGTTGGCAAAGGTAAATTAGGTTTGATATTAAAGTTTCTTATTTGAATGACAGGAATGATGACTATGACTTAAACAAAATATAAGATATAAGACGAAGAAATAGGATTGGGGGATAAATGTAACTTTGACTTGGAACATAAAGTAATTTGCCACTTGGAGATCCAGATGGAGATGTATAGGGAGCATCTGATTTTTAAAAATCATGAAAACAATAAATGCATTCATCATTTGAACTACAATGAACATAATTCATTATTTAACTATTCAGAAGTCTTTTTGGATTTTATTAGGCCTCAGAGTTATCTATGAGAAAACTATTTGGCATTAATAGTTTTTCAAAGGTTTTTGTTGGTCACATGGGGACTAATACTTAGACTAATACACCATTCCTGACCTCAAAGAACTTGGGAAAAAGGTCACACGTACAAGTTCTTAAGTGCAGAAATAGGCAATATTTAACATTTACCAGATGAATGATGTAGGCATTAAATGCTGAGCCTAGAGAAAGGAAGGATCTGGATAAATTAGAGACATTAGGAAAGCCTCAAGTAAGAGGGAAAAATCAAACTCGTTCCTGTGGAAGGTGGAAATGGAATAGTAAGAGACAAGGAAAAAAATGTTTTCAAAGCACGCAAGTGGCTTGAATAGAAACAGTGAACACAAGTGGAAGAGCTAGTGTCTGCATAATGGAAAGCTCTAAAAACATCCTTTTGGCTGTATTCATGTTTACCTGTAAATCAGAATCTTTTATTATTAATAGGATTGTTAAACCCCATAATGTATTGTTTTTATCACTACTGCTCATGAGTAGCATCAGAAACCAGGAAAGCCCTATTACAATCACATTGTATTCATAAACTCGGAGGAACTTTCTAAATATTTACATTTCAGCATATTAAGGGTACACTACTTTATTGAGATTTAATATCCTTTACTGTTCACAAATGGTTACCTGATGAGGCAGCATTAGTAGTGAAGGGGAAGGTGGTTTTGACATCAAAAGCGGCTGTAATCCCAGTTTCATCAAGAGTTACCTTGAAAAGTCTGAGTTTCAGTTTCTTCATCTATAACTACCTCGTGGGATTAAGGGAATACATTTCCAGAATTTAACCAAAAAAAAAAATCAACATACTTGTTCCCATCACCCTGCCTATATTATGGCCAGCAAGATGTAGTTTCATAATTGTTTTTTTAAAATGGTGTAAATGTAATAAATGAGCTTTGAAAGTAGCCTATGAATTAACTGAAGTGTTTTACAATAAAATAATTTTTGAACTTTTCACAAGGGAATAAAACTACTTATTAAAATATAAAAATTATGAATGATAAAATATAATGTTATGGTTTGAAAAAAATAGACCGTACCTGGAGGCTGCCTAGAAATGCCACCATTGTAAACATGCTGACTAAACAGATATAGAGGGCGTTGTGGCAAAGGTTCTATTTCTTCCAGACACAAAAATATCTGGTAAGTCTTTTGCTAGGTGTTAATTTCTTCGCCTATAAATAAATTGCATCAGATGTAATAGTGACAAACAGCAACTTTTTATTTAGGAAAAGTTGTGCTCTAGAATTAGCTCTTTCATGGGAAAATGTTGCTAGAAATACTGGTAAATTAAAGAAAGTAAAAAAAGAAATCAGAGGTCAAAGCAAGTTCCATAATATGGATAGACAGTAGCACTAGGGGTCCTGTTGAACTAAATGGGTTTTATGAGATTTGCAAGCAAATGCCTTGAATGTTCACATAATTGCCAATGTCTAAAAACTTAACTCAGTTTACCAAAGTTAACTTGGAATGAGATATTACCGATATAGAAAATATAAAATACTAGCTAACATATGAACTCTCTGAAGAATGTCTTCATTATATGGATTACACACACACATAAGAAAGAGATCAGGTTAAGTGAAAAGCTCGTGTGTGCACACACGTGTGTGTGTGTGTATTTTTTCCACAGAAAAAAGCGGTGCATCAAGGATGAGTTGAGTGTAACTGGGCAGTATTACACTGCTTCCCATGTTTAATTTCCTAAATAATCAACTGGAATGGCTGTACCAATATTCTGTATATATTCATTGATAGAACAAATAGCTTTTAGTTAAAATTATACATACACACAAAGTCAAGAAATTTAGTATATATTCAAATAATTTCTGCTTGTAGATACAATATTAACCTTTTTAAAACAAAAGGATACAATGTAAACCAATTTAAATTTCAGTGGGTCTAAACTGCATTTTATTTTTATAAATTTATTCAACATTTCTTTTCCAGACACACTCGTAGATGTTATTGTAGCACTATTCACAATAGCAAAGTCATGGAGTGAACCTAAGTGTCCATTGATGGTGGATTAGATAAAGAAAAAGTATATATACACTATGGAATACTATGCACCCCTTAAAAATAATGAAATTATGTCCTTTGCAACAACATGGATCCACCTGGAGGCCATTATCCTAAGTGAATTAACATAGAAACAGAAACTCAAATACTGCATGTGCTCACTTATAAGTGAGAGATAAATAATTGGTATATATGGCCATAAAGATGGAAACAACAGACACAGGGGACGATAGAATTATGAAGAGAAAGAGGGGAGCAAGGTTTGAAAAACCACCTCATGATTACTACATTTACAATATGAGGAATGGAAGTCCAAACCCCAGCCTTATGCAATAAACCCATGTAACAAACCTGCACATGGACCCCTTGAATCTAAAATAAAATAAAAATGTAAAAAAGAAATTAATAATGGCTAAAAAGTTATGTTCAGCATTTTATTTATACAGTTACATTCTGGAAAGAAATGTTATTTTAAAATTAGGTATCTAGAAAATAGTGTAACTTTAATTCTTAATTGCTCATTATTTGTCCACAGTTTTCAAGAATTCTAATATAGCTATCTTTTTAGGTAAGATAGAAGAATAAATGAAGCGATCTTCTGAAGTACTTTTAACTTTCTAATTTTATAAAATAAAGTTTCCTTTCCTTCTCTGACTCCCAGAGGAAATACTGTAATAATAGTACCTCCAACACTGAGAATTCAAACAAAGAAGGCAGGGCTTGGAGAGTGCCTTAGTTAAACTCCTGTTGACCAATTGGGCTATTCCTGATCCATCAGTGTTGACAATGTATGGTCCTGGTAATAGTGATGTCATTCACCCCTTATGAGAATTCAGTTGATGATGGAGTTTTTTCTTCTCTGGCGTATGCATTAAAACACTACAAACTTGTTTTCTAGTTAACTAATTCAGACCTCAAGGGAAAAACAAAGTTATTGAGGTTATTTGACATGGAAAATAGAAGTCTGTGAGAGAAACAATATAATTTTGCTTGATTTTAATGTATAAGGATAGGGATTCCAACATTTAATTCAACTGAAAGAGTAAATAAATGACTAAAGACAGAACAACGTAAGTGGCTACATTAAAGTCATGGAACTTTTCTGATAGAACACATTATTGAAGAACATAATCTTCCCAAGAGATATGTATTAGTTTGTTCTCACACTGCTAATAAAGAGATACCTGAGACTACGTAACTTATAAAGGAAAGAGGTTTAATGGACTTACAGTTTCACTTGGCTGGGGAGGCCTCACAATCATGACGGAAGACAAAGAAGCGAAGGCACATCTTACATGACAGCAGGCAAGACAGCTTGTGCAGGTGAATTCCCATTTATAAAACCATCAGATCTCACGAGATTTATTCACTACCACGAGAACAGTATGGGGGAACCCACCCCCATGATTCAATTATCTCCACCTGGCCCCACCCTTAACACGTGGGGATTATTACAATTCAAGGTAAGATTTGGATGGGGACACAGCCAAACCATATCAAGATGATTAAGAAGAAAATATATAACCATTTGACCTGGGTGTTTTCTGAATACTGCTAAAAGCAAAGGATAGAATTAGATAGTCTCTCCTACAAAAGGATTCAACAAAAACTGTTCAGAAATCAAGTACTGTATTAACATTGGAAACAATAATTATAACTATATTTACACTAAATACTAAATACAATAAACACAATAATCTTATGCACCTACTTAAGATTATATGTGAACAATATAATCTATTTTCTGCTGCAGCTAAATGTGACTTTTTAAAACTTCAATTTTTCTATTGGTAAGTACTTACAAGATTTAAGTTGTTTTAACATATAATAAAATTATTTATAAATATTAATCTTCAAAAGGTGAGGTTGATAGACTATATTTTGTTTTTCAAATATAGTTTGTGAAACTGAAATTTATCTTAGCAACTCTATGTGATTTGTAATTGTGTTAACACATCCACAGTAATTTTTAGAAATGAAAATCAGCTGGAGGTTATTCATACAGATTTATAGTCAATAGGTTAGGTTTGTACCATGGCTTAATTCTCTAAATACCACGGATGATATTCTGATGGTGTCAATGGGCTAAGAAATGTTTTCACATAATTAGGAAAAGCATTTTCACTATTCAGTATAATTTACAAATATCAATGGGGAGGGTACTTGAATCCTTTTTACTACTGCAAATTTCAAAAGGTGTAAATAAAAATCAAAACCATGACTACACATAAGACAACCATTACCTTACAATATTAAAATTCAATTCATAGTTGTGACTTGAATAGTGCTGATATACAACACAGACAGATCATTTTCAGAGTAACTTGGTGTGGAGGGAATTTTAGAATTTCCTACGACAGGTTTGTTTAATTGGTCTCTGTCCCTGAGCAATGCAGTATAACAGTTAAATTTAGCAAATTCCTTGTTTTCATCTTTTTATCATAAGATCTTTAAACAGCAGGATGGCATGATTAAGGCTTCAAAACCAGTTGTTATTTTTATTTAACAGATAATAACACTACCATGCTAGTTAACCTAGTAAAGCTATTGAAGCAGCAGAATGGACACCAGAAAAGATTTGAGAGATAATACTCTGAAAAGAGATATATTCCTTTTCGTATAGTTGTGGGATACATAGAATGCTTTAAAACAGAGGAATGACCGAAATTTGATGTTGCATAATGTATTTTCTTAGAAGAAGAGAATTATATAAACTTCAATTTCATCTTCTATTCATAGGCATAAAGAGATAATAAGGTGAATTGTGTGCAATCAACTCAGATATTTAGTCCAAAAGAACCATCTTCAGAAGAACTACCTTAAGAAAAACATGTCCTCAGTTTCCAATTTATGAACAGGTGATGTTCCAAAGCTTTTTTTGTGTGTGACCCAGAAGTTGCTAAAATTTGGAAATCATTTACCCATAGAAGCAATGCTATAAATACTCGTCTCCCTGGCTAGTCCCCCAAGACTTATTGAACCATAACATGATTAATTTTGAAACTATTTGTTTTAGCCTGGGTCCTGGTAGCAGGAATGATGAGGGAAAACAGCATTTCTCCGTTAATCTTGGGCACAGTACTAGCCATACACAAGATTGGAAAATGTGGAATTTATCACCAATGTCATTAATACTACCACTTTGAGTATCTACAAAATGTCAGCAACTGGAATAGATGCTTGTATGTGTTAGCTAATGTATTCCTCATAGCAACTCTGCCAAGTAGAAATTATTATCCCTATTTTACACTTGAATAAAATAGATACAAAATATAATTTATCCAAGTCAAGCAGATAGTAATTAGTTAGAATTAAAGCCTCAAGGTCTTGCCTTACTTTAAAGCCCTTGCTGTTTCCATTATGCTTCAATGTTTTTGGAATTCTCCATCCTCCATATACACATGTACTTCAGACCCCATGAGTCTCATACTACTATGGAACCCTATCACAACGTACTTAAATCTACCTTGTATTCTGTAGTGCTCTCTGCTCTAAAATCAGACATTTCCATTTTCTCAATCCAAACTCAAAGTGCCTCTGTGCAACTGACCTCAATGGGTATAAGATTGAAATAGCTCCTGCCACCCTCGAGGGGTCTCCATTTAAGAAGGAAAATCTCACACATGTGTGTGCATGTGTACATACATATATAAGCATACAACACACACACACATATATATATACACAAACACATATATGTAAATTTTAGGCAAGGTTACAAAATGAGGTGTCAGATTATAGAGGATTTTTTAAGTTTGATAGGGCCCTGGGCAATCGGATCCACTTCAGATATCTGCCCTTGAGGTCTTTTCCCCTGCATTATTTCCTGTTGAGGGGTAGGGGTAAAAACCTGGAATAGGGATGAGAGTCACAGTTAGCAGAAGTGGAGGAAGGTGAAAAACTAAGTTGACCCACTTCATAACGGTGCCATCTTTTTCTTCTTCCTTTTTTCTTTTCTTTTCTTTTTTTGCCAGGAGCATTTTTGGCTCAGAAATAGTGGGCTCTGCTTTATTTTTACAGGCTGCAGATGGGCTTCAGGTGGGGAGGGATAGGCTCTCAGAGATCCCAGAGGATCCATTTGAGGCATGGCATTCATAGTGACTCCTTTCAGCCACAGCATGAGAGACACCCTGAAGGAGGATACCCTTTTGTTCCTCTTCTCTCAGAAAAGTTTCAAAATCACTCTAGGGAAAGTCTAGGATGGGGTATGGATTTCCACAAAACCAGGAAACCATGAAGCCTTGGTGGACCTCCAAGGAAACTTGAAGCCAGTTGGCACCTCGCTGTCAACCAGCTGGCTGCTTTCAAACACCCTCCTGATGGGCCCTGCACAGCTGTGTTTTATGTTTCCACGTGGCCTTGCCAGAGGTCCCTCCTTAAACAGACCCAGCTTCCACAATTAGTGTGGACTCAAAACGAGTTAGTTATGGCATACGTGAGGTCCCAAAGGCCTCGTGGGGCTATTTACACCTCTTTGGACTATTTCCAGGACCCCAGATTATACTGTATGCGTAAATTAAGGAAGTCTCACAATCCAACAGCTCTGACTGAAACACACAATGTAGCCATATCTTAGACCCCATTTCCCAATGCTTTTCTTGGCCTCATTTTCACAATTTTACCACCCTGAAAGATAAACCCTCTGTATTCTTAAAATTATGTTTTAGAAAGGAGTTCTCTCTTTCCTGTTCCTGAACGTACCTGGTTTTTTTCCTACAGTACAAAAATTGAGGACTAATCAATTTTCTCCTTTGGCATTAAAGTCATTTAGGACTTTATTTGCATTCACCTGGCCAAGTTATAAATACCATCAAACACCTATATCATGCAGTTTCTTTACTTAAAATAATAAATTGGTTTCACTTAATAAAATACAAAACCAGATGAACTCAACCGGTGTACCCAGCCATTAGGAACATACATTTAGCAGGCAGTGGGGAAAAAAAGCCAAGATGCTGAGAAGGGAGACCACCCCCCAGGCCAGTAAGTACACAGTGTCAGCTCTAGGTCACATATTCTAGAAAACCTCAAGTGGAAATAATTCTTATTTCATTTTTTATCTATGGCTTCTACTGTATACCCAGAGAATCTGAACTTGGTTTTGGTGTTTTCTCTCTTCCCTTCATTTCTCTCTGCTTTTCAAGGCCTTTTCCCTTGGGGCCTCTTCTTGTCTTCACAGGCGCCTGTCTCCAGCCACATTTCTCAGTTATCGATACTGCTGCCTAACAACTCAGAACCTGACATACAGTTCTTTAGTAAACATTTGTTGAATAAGTTTTGGAGCCTGAAACAAGGAAACCTATGATGTATGGAGAAATAATGCAAGTTCAAGAGTCAGGACATTAGCTGAACAAGATTTGATAATAAAAGGGACAATTGTGATGAAGGGCTTTTGATGATATCCTCATGTGTGTCTAACATGCTATATTAAAAGCTTTAAGTATATAAACTTATTTTAATCAATGTGACACTAGACATCATGACCCTTATTTGACAGGTGAATAAACTGAGGCTTTGAGCTCTGAAGTAATATGCCCACAGCCACATAGCTACTAAGTGTAAACTTTACTGAAATTAATATGCATGTCTGTTCAATCCTAAATGAATGCCTTTTTATCCCTTTTGGTCTAGTTCTTCATTTTTTCATCTATTAAATGTGGAAATTTTAACATTCCTAAGTTCTCTTCCAGCTTTAAGATAATTCATATATAAAGTGACACATTTCTCAAGAAAATTTACAGTTCAGTTAGTCTTCCTTGTTGATTAAAATCTTGCAAGAGACAAAGGAATGGCTCTCCAAAGCTGAAAATTTAGAAGCCCTGAAATGAAAGAGGAGAAGAACTTTGGTGCAGCTTGAGCCTTGCAGTTTTTCAGATACACCTAAAGCTGAAGTTACCATTGTCTTTTTACAGCAGTTAACATTTACTGATAACTTATTATGTTCCAGACACTGTGCTAAAAGTTTATATGTATTACTTCACCGAAATCTCAACCCCTATGAGATAGAGCTGTAGTTGTTCTCAATTAACATACCAGAAAAACAAGCTTAACTTGCCCAAGTTCATATTGCTAGCATGTAGGAGAGCTTGGATTCAAACTCAGATATCTTTAACTTTGAAGCCTAAAATCCTAACTTTGAGGTTATATTGTTTTGCATGCCATTTTAGCTTATTTGTCTATGTACATTTAATGTGATTTATATCAATGTCATTTTTGTCATTGATTTTAAAATAAAACCCATCAGATATATCAGGAATCTGCTTAGTTTGCTAGCATATGTGGTGATACTTAAGTATCTCATGATGCATGCCTTTCGGTGCAATTAAATATCTTTGGGTCACTCTCAATCACATGCCTATGAGTTACAAGCTCTGCCTCCCCTTCTCTCTACATATTTCTTTCTGTCCAAAGTGTACAGACTATCAGGCATCAAAAGAAAATAGACAACCCACACCAATGTGGAGATTTGCAAACTCTTAACATGAGAAAAATCTCCATAGAGAAAACATAATGCCTGGGTGGGTGATTGACTTAACAGAAATCCTACCTAAATGTATTTCCACATTCATTCATTCCATACTTATTAGAAGGGATTATTGACACTTTCAGAAGATACAATCTCAGGCACCCTGATAGCAAATTAACTTTTTTATTAAGAAGAATTGAAGTTAGCTGTTATTCTCTACACTAGGGCAGCCTGATTTTCATTTTAGCTATGACTGATATTACATACTATTACTAATCTATTTGCAGGTATAAAGAAAAAATCATATATATATATGTATGTATATGTATATACATATATACATATACATATATACATACATATACATACATATATACATATACATATATATACACATACATATATATACATATATATATTCTGTTTTTACCTTCTGAAAGAAATAACCTCCAAATTAAGCTACATAGGAAGTGTAGAAATGCTCAGAAATGACCCATTTAGATTCTGTAACTATTTGGAGAGAAGAGATTTTAGTAGCTATAATTTTTGATCAAATAAGTATTAGTTCATTTTTATTTTAGTCAAGTACACATTTTGTAAAATAACACCGATAAGGTGTGCTATTTTTCTCTAACCAAACTCTTCACAATAAAATCCAACTGCAATATTCATTTAGAAATTTGATAATGCTCTCTTGTGTGAGTTTTAGGAATATTTGAAACCCCATTGCATATAAATTATATCATGGAAAAGCTGTATAAATATTCTATTATGGCACATGCTGTTCTAAGGATCTGTCAGGATTTCCTTTATACACTCCATTTTGAGTGGTATATAAATCAGATGTAAAAATTCATGTTGGACTGAAATTCAGCACAAAATGCCTCCTCCAGAGGCAAATGCTTTTTTCAAAATGTGGTTCGAATTATGTTGGTCATTTTTAAGTTACAGAAGTGCAGAAAATGTATTTGTGGTTTTGAGGGAGAGAGATTTTTTCCATTTTTATAACTCATTAGGAAACTTTACAGGCCTTCAGACCATTTTGTGGTTTAGTTCTTCTCAGGTTTTTCCCCAAAGCAATATTAAAACTTGAATGGTGTCCGCTGTGAATCCAATGATTACTGTTCTGAATACAAATGTATGTGTGGATACATATAGTTCTACATATCTTCAACTAGGAGAAGTTCCAAAAATATTATGACCAAGGTAGAAGATGAGGCCTATCAGTTGGCTAGTCTTTGCCTTGGTATCAGTCAAGTTTGGCATATCAAAGGAATCAAAGGAATCCCCTATCCAAACCACAGTTCAGCAGGTATTGCTTGAATTTTAAAACTGCATTAAATTGCAGAAAAATCCGCTGAGTTCAACACTGCCTCTTTTATGAGCTTTTAGACAATAATGCTGCGCCTTTTCTAAATTTTGGTTTCTCTAACATATAGAGCAAGTTGCAGTGTGTTTAACAGATATTCACTAATGCTTATCTCATTTCTAAAGTATTTAATATGTATATATTATGCATATAAATTAGTTTGCTAAATAATGTTGAACTTATTTTGTTAGTGTAGCTAATGTGTTAGAGTAATTTCATAAACATCTAAATTATTATTTTAGCCTATGTAGAGATTATTATACTCTCTTTCCTAACAGCATCAGTTAAAATCAAAGAAAGTTTGATTTAGACCAAGAAAGTTGGCCTAATTCACAAAGTTGATTAAGCCAATATTTCAGATGACTTTAAAGGAAAATGAAAATAAACATAATATATATGTTTGAATTGCTTCCATCTATACTGCATTTAGTTTATTAATACATTGGAACAATGCATTTAGTAGTTATTATTTATCGTTTAAAGCACAATTTTTAAAAAAATTTCCCAATATCGTATCTTATGCTTTGTATTAAATTCCCCTTAGAGAATTAAATCTGGGTGTCTTGATTCCAAAACAGTTCCCTTTCCTATTTCCTATATTTCCTATTTCCTACATTACACTATTTCTGGTACAGTTACCAAAATCCTTGGGTTTAGGGACAGTTAAGATGGACCACTCAGAGGATGATCAAACATTTGCCTGTGGCTGGAGCAATGTAGACTTTCCCTCTGGGATACTGAGGAGCAGAAGGGGTCTCACTTCTCCTGAATGTTTTCTCTACTTACCTAGTGTCACAGAAATTAGCCAGCTATGTACTATCGAGACAGCTGAATGCCAGTTTTTCTTATTTTTCACATTAACAAGAGAGTAAGGTTACTAATGAGGGGTCACATCCCAAATCTCTAATCTATATAGCTGAATATCCCTATTTATATTTGGGTCATTTTTTGTTCTGCTCCATTGACTTTTACTAAATTATACTAATTTGTGTTCCATAATGTTATTCTTGGTTATAATTAATGAAATTTTGTGTGTAACTCATATATCACTGATATACTTATGTCTTTCTGTTAATCATTAAGGTCATTTCTTTTATAATTTAAATTAACATGTATCACTTCAAACATCCCTGTATAACTCAAAACAGTTATGAAGAAGTTCTTTGCAGCTTTTGGGAGAAGTTTACAAATTTCTGAGAACTAGATACATATTGAAATATAGTTTTATGTTAATCAAAACTGTTTCAAAGGAAAGCATAGACATTTAAAAACGACTGAAAATAAAAGTACTTTAAATGTCAAAGTAAATAATTTTATATGTGAATAATCTAGATTTCATGGTTTGAGCAGGAATAATTTATAACTCATTAGGCAAGTAATATACACAGTGCACTTCTCTCCCAACCTATTGCATTACAGCCATATTTTTTCTCACATTTGTAGAAAGGGTTACACAGTGCTATTATTTGAATAGCTTTGACCTTGTTAAAGCCTGGCACCATTGTTTTTTACATAGCAAGCAGTATATTTTTAAATAGAGTCACTTTCTTACAACACATGAAATAAAGAATGACATAAAAACTTTAAGATTGTGAATAATAAAATATGTAAGATATATCCTCACCTTGATTTTACCTTTAAGCAGCCTTTTATTTGTCTGTTAGGAACTTCTTTCCATGGTTTTACAGGCTCCGGCTCTTGTTCTTTCTTTTGACAAATGAATGTATAATTTGTGCCATTATTATTTGACCAAAATGTACCAACAGAAGTTTCATAACGTATACAAAACTCAACTTTACTGCCATCTTTTTGATAAGGAGGAACCAATACAATCTTAAAGGAGAACTGGTCAGTTTCACCATCACATGAATTAGGAACATATTCTGCTAAAATGTCATAATGTGTCTGCCAGTCATCTAAAGACATTCTTACATATACTAACTTCTCAAAAGAAACATTCAAAACTCGAATAATACCCTTGATACTTGTAGACCCAAGAAGAGACTCAGTTGACTCCAGTATTGCTTTCTGTATTTGGAGTTGTTGCATAAGATCTTCTTTTGAAGAAGGCAAGTCAAACAGTGGGGCTAAAACATATTCTTCTGTGTGGAAAATGTCCGTCCCTAAGTCAAAAGTGGTTGAAGCACTCGGTAATTCCCAGCAATCAAATTCTTTAACAGACACAAGATTGAATCCAAAGGAATCAGCAAATGAAACTCTTCTAGTACCTGAAGATGGGGTATCCAGGTATATGTCTTCAGAAGAATCAGAACCTCGTCTACTTGGTTGAGGGGAGAAACCAGGTTGGAAAGTAACTTCTTCATCTTCACAAAGAGAGTCAGATAAATTAGGAACTTCTAAAAAATTATCTTTGCTAATCTGACTAGGTACTTCAGAAGGCTCCATTGGGCTCTCTGATATCAAATAAGAGAGAACTGTACGACTAGTAGAGGCTGACATTTGAGATACTGAGGCTTAAAATAGGTATAATGTTACAGTTGACATTGCAAAAAGAACTCAGCTCTATAAATAGGTCCAATGGCGTGTCAACTATGCTAGCCTGCAACCCTGCTAGCCTCCCCCTAAAGGCCTTGCATATGATAGCATCCATGCTACTCCCACCAGTATGTTTCAGATTTAACTGGCAGTTTTTAAAGCTGTATTTGTTTATGAGCTAAGTTCCAAACAGATATTTTTAAATCATGTTCTGCTGTATTGGAAATCCTGGAACTTTAGGATAAAAATATTATTTTAATTAGTTGATGTTAAAAATGAAAATGTGGATTTTTTTTAAATAAAATAAAAGTAGTATCACAATACTGAATATGTAGTTTGGACTAAATTAATCCATGGAGCAGGTAAGTGCAAACAGGGAAAGATAAGAACATTTATAGAACTGAAGAGATCCAGAGCCTACTAATAATGACAGCTATCATTTTCAGGGATTTATAAATGTATAGCTTTATTACAAAAGGGTTAAATAGAGGTGCTGAAAGTTCTGAGGAAGGAAACATGATTCAGATGGGGAAGGTATCATTTTAAATAAAGCATGAAGGGTAGGTGGAATTTAGACATGCAAGGTTGGAGCAAGGCAGATTGTCCAGGTAGAAGAAATAACCCAAGCAAAAGCCTAGAACAAAGAAGTAATCAAATTCATTATTTTAAACATTAGTACATTTATTTTAATTAAGCCATGGGAAAATACAGATAAGACATGTTATTGATTTACAAATATAAGTGGGCAAAGGTAAGCCTGATCCAGGACTAATACATCTACGTAGAATAAAATGTTCTTTTGCAAATGGCCATTTTATGCCCACAAAGCAGAAGTTGATACCATCACACCTTGAAATTCAATATGAGTTTTAAAGTATGAACAGCCTGCTTAAACTGTCACGTTTTTTTTATGTCATAAAACCCAAGTTGGGGGATGGTCATTTTGGTAAAAACCTATAAAAATTTAACTGCACACAATTTGACCGAGAAATGCCCCAGCTAGAAATTTGCTCTGTCAGTATGGGAAAGTATACAAAGATAAATAGAGATCTATGTTCATAACAGAATTGTGCGTTTAACAGTCTCTACAAACCTGTTAAATGTCCCTCTCGAAAGAGCATTGGATAAATAACCCATACAATAGAATGTTTTAGAAGGATAAAGTAGCACTTTATGTGCTAATATGGAAAGATAACCAAGATAAATGGCTAAGTGATAAAAAAGAAAATGTGTACAGATATGTACATAGAAAACTCCTGAAAGGATACAAAAGACAATGTTAGCAGTATTTACTTCTAACCACAGAATTTAAAGATGGCAGAGGAATGGGGGCTCTATTCATTTTACTTTATGGTCTGCTGTACTGTTTGAAATATTATACATGAGCATGGTTTTCTTTCAAAATATCTATTAATTAAACTGAAAAAATATACGAAGTGTGAAAGGTGATTAGTTTTTCTTTTTATAAAGAGCCCAATAGCATAATTTCTTTCAAATGAAAACCTCATTAATATGGTATAACTTATTAGGTAATTTGAATTGCATAAAGTAGTGGATGGAGAAATTATTTTCTAAAATTATAAGTGACTAGTGTCTAGAAGGATAAAGAAATGAAATTATTTGAGCTTTATCTCATCCACATAGCTAGAATGGGTGGTGACCACATGGATTGCTCAAGAATGGGTAATGGCTGCGGAAATGTCTGTGCCTTT
The DNA here is from genome assembly GCF_000001405.40 of Homo sapiens. Classification (NCBI taxonomy): domain Eukaryota; kingdom Metazoa; phylum Chordata; class Mammalia; order Primates; family Hominidae; genus Homo; species Homo sapiens. Next base: position 113,920,799 of record NC_000007.14, read on the forward strand.
CAGATTTGATGACTACAAGTAGCTATATTTCAAGGTACCTGAAATACATTGCTATGTAGTCAAGGAAATCAGCAACAAAATGCTTTATGGAAATTAGTAAAATAGTTCATATAGCCATGTAAATAATGGGATAATGAAAATTTAAGATATAATAATGTACTGAAATATTTTAACTATCCAGGAGTTAGTTAGCAAAGGAATGGAAATGAAGACCCCTGGGTCCATTTCCTGGCTCTGCTGCTTACTAGCTGGATGACCTTCCGAATGTTACTCAGATGTTCTAACCCACAGTTGCCTTAATTGTCAAAGTACAATGTTTAAAATTAAACAAGATTCTTGTTAAATGTCTAGCACAAAACCTATAGTAATAGCACCAGTCACTATTTCAATTCCGATATATGTTTGTAAAAGGCTGATTTCTAAGGTATATCAACAGATAGATGGATAGATATGTAATCTATCTAGCTACAGAGAATTCATATATATCATTAAGAAATGATTTGTAATTTGTTTCATTTTTGTCTTTTTCAAAGGCTATAGTGTGTAACACTTAGCTTTATAAGACATAATATAGCTCTACATTAGAAAATGGTCCTGTTATTTGATCTAAACTTTTCCCTTGTTAATGTGTCTCTTTACACAGAGCACTACCTTGATTTGTAGTAATCACTGCCTTTCTTTTGGAATTTATAACCTTCACATAATTGTAGACAGTTGACATGTTCCCCCTTAGTCACCACTTAGCTAAAGCAGAGTGATTTCATCTTTTTAATCTCTTCCCACATGTCAATCCTCCAGTGCTTTTTACCATTTTGTTACTCCTCTATGAACTCCTTCCAGCTTGCCTGTATTTTTCTGTTAATGAGCTGCCCCCAGATGAATGCAATATTATAGATCAAGTGTCTCTGGAGCATGAAAAGAAATACTAACAGCCTCAGCCTTGTGACTTGGTGTTTGCATTCAGTTAAAATTCACATTTCCTTGCTTTATTTCCATATCACAGATCAGACCAATGTCCCATTTTCTCATATCCACCACTACCTCAATTTCAACACAATTTATCACACTCTTCTTCAGCTGCTAAGGTATACTGTTTTTAGAAGAATTAAAGCTTTTTCTTTCCTTCTTTTTTTTTTTTTTTTTTTTTTTTACAAACTAAAGCTCAAGTCTCCATGCATTCCATAATTTTTGGTATTAATCAAATATTCTCAAAGGCACCATTAACATAAAAAACAGTATCAGTCAGGAACCCAGTAAATAGGAAATAGATGGCATGCTCAAATAAGATAATTTCAGGAGGATTTATTTACAAGGGTCTATTTATAAAGTGTAAAGGCAGAGAAGCCACAAGAACTAGTGTGACAAACTGGGGTCAATTGCATCAGAGCTTTTACCATCCTTCAAGGGATAAGGGAAGGGAACACTTATCAGAACTTGAAAGCAAAGCGTGCCATAAAGAGCTTACCAACTGGAGACCTGGTCAAAGGACACAGCCAGTTGAAGACGACTTTGCCAGGAGTGATCCGGGAGCATAATAAACTGAATTCATTCTTCTCCCTTTTTATGATGTCCTACCAGAGCTACCTATTGGCCAGAGGGCATGGGAACTATTATAGTTCATTCAGGTCAGTCTCCCGCAGCAGAAAACAGGGAGGAAAATGGTGGAAAGGGTGGCAAGTGGATTTGGAGGAGCAAACAGAAGATATGAGGTATGAAATATATGCAAATATGTATATAACATATATACATATATAACTTAAAATACATATGTGTGTTCCTCTTTATTTATACATACTGTATCTCAATGCCAACTGAGTTTCTATTACCTGATCTTCTACTGTCATGGGTTCAAGAAAAAAAGTTAAATATCTAAGGTCTGATCAGCTCTGATCCAGTGAGAATCAAAAATAAGAGAGATTGTGTTTATCCACAAATGGGTAGGAAAGAAATGATCTATTTTGAAATTAATTATGATTTTGCATTTGTTTCCCATGTTAGCATAGATTTTTGCAACCCAAAGAAACGTTTTGTCAAGAGACAGTCTAGAACTGTAGTCTTTAAAACCAGAGATAGATGTCAAAAATCACTGGGAGAGATGTTCAAATAAGATTTTCCAAGAGGATGATGGTTCACAAGTGATTCTGATATATAGACTTGGTTAAGATGCGTGATCTCCGGCTGGGCGCAATGGCTCATGCCTGTAATCCCAGCACTTTGGGAGGCCAAGGCGGGTGGATCACAAGGTCAAGAGATCGAGACCATCCTGGCCAACATGGTGAAACCCCGTCTGTACCAAAAATACAAAAATTAGCTGGGCATGGTGGTGTGCACCTGTAGTCCCAGCTACTCGGGAGGCTGAGGCAGGAGAATTGCTTGAATCCAGGAGGCGGATGTTGCAGTGAGCCGAGATTGAGCCATTGCCCTCCAGCCTGGAGACAAAGTGAAACTAGGTGTCAAAAAAAAAAAAAAATGCATGATCTCCTAGTCTGTCTGCCATAGTCAGGGACTTAAGTTCTAGTTATGAAAACAATTGTAGCTATTATCCCTCTACATATGTACTATGTGCTATTTTTAGTGTGTGTGGGGGCTATAAAATGCTTTTACAAAAAAAAAAACAAGAATTGGGTAGAACTTTAAGGTCATTTAGCAATCATCTAGGCTAGTCCCTTCATATTCACATAAGAAAACACAAATTCAGAACAATGAAGGACTCCATTATTTAATAGCAGAGAACTGACTTGAACTCAGCTCTCTCTTGCCCTCAGTCCAATATTGTCCATATTATTCCATACATATGCCAACTTCTAGTTTTAGAATTCATAATTAACAAATTAATCATTCTTTGAAAATAGTCATTAAAATTAATTTGTTCTAGATTTCATTTATGTTGTTAAAATCAATTAACTTTTGTGAACTTCCTTTTTTCCATTTGATGTAAGATCTCCAGGGGTGTCCAGATAATTTTTCTTTGTGACAAGCTCTCTCAACCTTTTCCAGCTTATGTACCCTTTAATAAATTTAATATCTTATAATGTTCTCTCTCTCCCTCAGAGACACTGCTATATTTCTATTTGAGAATTACTGATCTAAGTTATAAAAATGAATTATGTAATCTCTTAGAACTAAATTTGATATTTAGTATTTTAAAAGACTACTAGTGAAAGGATATCACTTCAAACATAGTTTGAGACACAGATTTGTTCCTCAGATGTCAGTCACTGAAAAGTTTTCTTTGAAAATGTTCATATATACCAATAGGGCATGCACAGTTAAGTCAGAACAGAATGGAAACTTCGCAAGATATAGGTAATTTTTTTTTTTTTTGAGACATGGTCTTGTTCTGTTGCCCAGGCTGGAGTGCAGTGGTGTGACCATGGCTCACTGCAGCCTCGACCTCCTGGGCTCAAGAAATTCTCCTGTCTTAGCCTCCCTAGAAGCTGGGACTACAAGAATATGCCACCACATCCAGCTATTTTTTTTTTTTTTTGGAGAGATGGGGGTCTCACTATGTTGCCCAGGCTGGTCACTACATTTGTAAAGGGATGTGTCACTTATTTCTTGAAGAGTTCAATTATTCAATATAGATAATTGATCATGTTACAGCAGAATAATTTGGCCACCAAAGGCAGCATTCAGATTGTTTAGCTTAATTTATGAAAGATAAACTAGTATAATACTCAAGCACCAAGGGCTTATTTTACAGGGATTGCATAATGTGCTTTAAATTTTGACCAAAATAAAGACATACAAATATATAGTCAGAAATCTAGATCTCTAAGGTGTTTAGCAAGCACACATCAGAGATAACCTCTTCATTTTACACTGAAAATTGAAATTTCAGTGGTCAACTGGATTCTCCCTTGACTTGTGTGTGATTCCAGCATTAACCCTAGAAGGAAAATATATTATAAGCTTAAAGACAGATACCATCTAATAATATGTTAGGAAATTTTTAATTGACCCATAAAATTTATGCTCATAGTATATGCATTTTGATATTTAAAAATATAGCTAAGCACACTGTATTAGGAGTAAGTAGGCCTAAGTTCTAGAGCCATGCTTATTATTAAGAAACTGTGACCTTGGAAATCATTTAAGTTCTTTGTATAAATGTCTGAATATTACTGAAAATCTCTTCAAAACTGTGAAATCTGCAGACATATGAACCTTTTATCATGAAAGTTGTCATTTATTTGTGAAGCAAACGTATATTGACTTCTACTCTGTCAGGCACTGTGTTACATCCTAAGATTACAAAGTAAGTTATAAAATATAGAATCTGTTCTCAATACCCTAGCATCTAATGGAGAGAGGGAACAACAGAAATTCTCCATCATTATGGATCTCCCTTTCTTGTGCTAATAGCTTTGGTTATTGATTGGGAAATCATAAACTTGGCTTTAGGTGTTCTGCCCATAGTCTCCCCTTTATTATGTTAGAATTGGACTCTTGTATCATAGACAGATTTTTACAATTTTTTATTAGCAGCAAGAGACCATCCATCACTATTTCAAAGAAGTCTGGACTTGAAAACCTGCAAATAATGACGTTTGTGACTATTGACTTTGTTGATTTTGTTAACCATTCAGTGGCAGGGACTCAAGTGCTTGTATGCTAATCGAAAACTCTGCTAATTTTTTACCCCACACTTTCACCCTAGTTAAAAGGCATCAGCCAAGAAATACCAAGGAGTCCATACCAGAGTCAAATATCCCTTGGTATGATACAGATAGCCTAGAATCATTGCTTTGTGCAATTAGGGGGAAGGCAAAATTTAAAGTTCTATTTATGTTACTATGAATTATCAAAAGATTATTTTAAATTTAAACTTAAACTTCTTATTTCTAATAGTTACATTTAGACAATGTATATTTTCACTCGTTTTTTGGATGCATATGTCTTTTTTTAACTTTTATTTTAAGTTCATGGGTACATGTGCAGGTTTGTTATACAGGTAAATTCATGTCATAGGGATTTGTTATACAGATTTTAGTCACCTAGGTATTAAGCCTAGCACTCACTAGTTATTTTTCCTGATCTCCCTCCTCCAAAACCCCACCCTCTGGTAGGCCCCAGTGTGTGTTGTTCCCTCTATGTGTCCATGTGTTCTCATCCTTTAGCTCCCACTTATAAGTGAGTACATGCAGTATTTGGTTTTCTGTTCCTGAATTAGTTTGCTAAGGAGAATGGCCTCCAGCTCTATCCATGTTCCTGCAAAGGACATGATCTCATTCTCTTCTATGGCTACATAGTATTCCATCATGTATATGTACCACATTTTCTTTATCCAGTCTACCATTGATGGGCACTTATGCTGATCCCATGTCTTTGCTATTGTGAACAGTGCCGCAATAAACATATGTGTGCATGTATCATTGTAATAGAACAATTTATATTCCTTTGGGTATGTACCCAGTAATGGTATTGCTGGGTGGAATGATATTTCTGTTTCTGGGTCTTTGAGGAATTGCCACACTGTTTTCCACAATAGTTGAACTAATTTACACTCCCACCAACAGTGTATAAGCATTTCCTTTGCTCCACAGCCTTGCCAGCACCTTTTATTTTTTACTTTTTAATAATAGTCATTCTGACTGGTGTGAGATGCTCTCTTATTGCGGGTTTGATGTTTATTTCTCTAACGATCAGTGATATTAAGCTTTTGTTCATATTCTTCTTGGCTGCATGTTATGTCTTCTTTTGAAAAGTGTCTGTTCAGGTCCTTTGCCCACTTTTTAATGGGGTTGTTTGCTTTTATTCTGTACATTTGTTTAAGTTCTTTACTAAACCTTTGTCAGATGCATAGTTTGAAAATATTTTTCCCATTCTGTGGATTGTCTGTTTACTCTGTCACAGTTTCTTTTGCTATACAGAAGCTCTTTAGTTTAATTGGATCCCATTTGTCAACTGTTGCTTTTGTTGCAATTACTTTTGGTGTCTTTGTCATGAAATCTTTGTCCAGAGTGGACACCAAAAGTAATTGCAACAAAAGCAACAATTGACAGATGGGACCTAACTAAACTTAAGAGCTTCTGCACAGCAAAAGAAACTATCAACAGAGTAACCTACAGAATGGGAGAAAATATTTTCAAACTATGCATCTGATAAAGATCTAACATTCAGCATCTGTAAGGAACTTAAACAAATGTAAAGAGTGTTTCTATGTTCAGAATGGTATTTCCTAGGTTGTCTTCCATGGTTTTTATACTTTGGAGTTTTACATTTAAGTCTTTAATCCATCTTGAGTTAATTGTTTTATATGGTGTAAGGAAGGGGGTCCAGTTTCCAGTTTCAAACTTACATATATGGTTAGCCAGTTATCCCAGCACCATTTATTGAGTAGATAGTACTTTCCCCCTTGCTTGTTTTGTCTGCTTTGTCAAATAACAGATGGTTTTAGGTGTACAGCCTTATTTCTGGCTGCTCTCTTCTGTTCCATTGGTCTATGTGTCTGTTTTTGTACCAGTACCATGCTGTTTTGGTTACTGTAACCCTATACTAGCGTTTGACCCTATGCTAGAGTTTGACCCTATACTAGAGTTTCAGGTAGCATGGTGCCTCCAGCTTTGTTCTTTTCACTTAGGATTTCCTTGGTTATTTGAGCTTTGTTTTGGTTGCACGTGAATTTTAAAATAGTTTTTTTCTCATTCTGTGAATAATGTAATTGGTAGGTTGATAGAAATATCATTGAATCTGTAAATTGTTTTGGGCAATACAGCCATTTTTACAATATTGATTCTTCCTGTCCATGAGCATGGAATGTTTTTCTGTTTGTTTGTGCCATCTCTGATTTCTTTGAGCAGTGGTTTTTAGTTCTCATTATAGAGACCTTTCACCTTCCTGGTTAGCTGTATTCCTAGGTATTTGATTCTTTTTGTGGCCATTGTAAATGGGATCACATTTCTGATTTGGCTCTCGTCATGACTGTTGTCAGTGTATAGGAATACTAGTGATTATAGTTTGTTGATTTCATATCCTGAAACTTTGCTAAAGTTGTTTATCAACTGAAGGAGCTTTTGAGCCAAGACTATGGGGTTTTCTAGATATGGAGTTATGTCATCTGCAAACAGTGATAGTTTGACTTTTTCTCTTCCTATTTGGATGCCTTTTATTTCTCTCCCTTGCCTGATTGCCCTGGCCAGGATTTCCAATACTACATTGAATAGGAGTGACAAGAGAGGGCATCCTTGCCTTGTGCCAGTTTTCAAGAAGAATGCTTCCAGCTTATGCCCATTCAGTGTGATGTTGGCTCTGGGTTTGTCATGGATGGTTCTTATTATTTTGAGGTTTATTCCTTCAATACCTACGTTATTGATAGTTTTTAACATGAAGGGATGTTAAATTTTATTGAAAGTCTTTTCTGCATCTATTGAGATAATCATGTGTTTTTGACTTTAGTTCTGTTTAGATCACATATATTGATTTGTAGATGTTGAACCAACTTTGTATCTCAGGAATAAAGCCTACTCAATCATGGTGGATAAGATTTTTGGTGTGTTGCCGGATTTGCTTTGTCAGCATTTTTTGAGAAGTTTTGCAACAATGTTCATCAAGGATATTGGCTTGAAGTTTTCTTTTATTGTTGTATCTCTGCAAGGTTGTGGTATCAGGATAATGCTGGCCTCATAGAATGAATTAGGGGAGAGTCCTTCCTCTTCAACTGTTTGGGATAGTTTCAGCAGGAATGGTACAATTTCTTCTTTGTACATCTGGTAGAATTCAGCTGTAAAACCATCTTGATATGGTTTGGCTATTTCCCCAACCAAATCTCAACTTGAATTATATCTCCCAGAATTCCCACGTGTTGTGGGAGGGACTCAGTGGAAGGTAAATTGAATCACGGGGGCCAGTCTTTCCAGTGCTATTCTCATGATAGTGAATAAGTCTCACGATATCTGATGGGTTTATCAGGGGTTTCTGCTTTTGTTTCTTCCTTATTTTTCTCTTGCTACCTCCGTGTAAGAAGTGCCTTTCATCTCCTACCATGATTCTGAGACCTCCCCATCCATGTGGAACTGTAAGTCCAATTAAACCTCTTTTTCTTTCCAGTCTCAGATATGTCTTTATCAGCAGTGTGAAAAGGGACTAATATAGTAAATTGGTACCAGTTGAGTGGGGCACTGCTGAAATATACCCCAAAATGTGGAAGTGACTTTGGAACTGGTTGGAACAGTTTGGGGGGCTTGGAAGAAGACAGGAAAATGTGGGAAAATTCAGAACTTCCTCGAGACTTCTTGAATGGGTTTGCCCAAAGTGCTGATAGCAATACAAACAATAAGGTCCAGGCTGAGTTGGTCTCAGACAAAGATGAGAAACTTGTTGCGAACTGGAGCAAAGGTGACTCTTGCTATGTTTTAGTGAAGAGACTGGCAGCATATTGCCCCTGCCTTAGAGAAGGGTGGAACTTTGAACTTGAGAGAGATGATTTAGGGTATCTGGCAGAAGAAATTTCTAAGCAGCAAAGCATTGAAAATGTGACTTGGGTGCTGTTAAAGGCATTCAGTTTTATAAGGGAAGCAGAGCATAAAAGTTTGGAAAATTTGCAGCCTGACTATGCAACAGAAAAGAAAAAAACCATTTTCTGGGGAGAAATTCAAGGCAGCTGCAGAAATTTGCATAAGTAGCAAGGAGCCTAATGTTAATCCCCAAGACTATGGGGAAAATGTCTCCAGGCCATGTCAGAGACCCTCACAGCACGCCTTCCCATCACAGCCCCGGAGGCCCAGGAGAAAAGTGGTTTGGTGGGCTGGGCCCAGGGTCCCCGTGCTGTGTGCAGCCTAGGGACTTGGTGCTCTGTGTCCCAGCCACTCCAGCCATGGATGAAAGGGGCCAACATACAGCCTGGGCTGCAGCTTCAGAGGGTAGAAGCCCCAAGCCTTGGCAGCTTCCATGTGGTGTTGAACCTGTGGGTACACAGAAGTCAATAATTGAGGTTTGGGAACCTTTGCCTAAATCTCAGAAGATGTATGGAAATGCCTGGATGCCCAGACAAAAGTTTGCTGCAGGGGCAGGGCCCTCATGGTGACCTGCTGCTAGGGCAGTGCAGAAGGGAAATGTAGGTTTGGAGACCCCACACAGAGTCCCCACTGGGGCATTGCCTCGTGGAGCTGTGAGAAGAGGGCCACTGTCCTCCAGACCCCAGAATGATAGATCCACTGACAGCTTGCACTGTGCACCTGGAAAAGCCACACAGACACTCAACACCAGCCTGTGAAAGCAGCCTGGAGGGGTGCTGTACCCTACATAGCAACAGCAGCAGAGCTGCCCAATACCATGGGAACCCACCTCTTGCATCAGCACGACCTGGATGTAAGACCTGAAGTCAAAGGAGAGCATTTTGGAGCTTTAAAATTTGATGGCCCCACTGGATTTCAGACTTGCATGGGCTCTGTAACCCCTTTGTTTTGACCAATTTCTCCCATTTGTAATGGCAGTATTTACCCAATACCTGTATCCCCAATGTATCTAGGAACTAACTAGCTTGCTTTTGATTTTATGGGCTCATAGGCAGAAGGGACTTGCTTTGTCTCATATGAAACTTTGGACTGTGGACTTTTGGGTTAATGCTGAAATTAGTTAAGGCTTTGGGGGACTGTTGGGAAGGCATGATTGGTTTGAAATGTGAAGACATGAGATTTGGAGGGCCCAGGGGCAAAATGATATGGTTTGGCTGTCTCCCCACCCAAATCTTAACTTGAATTGTATCTCCCAGAATTTCCACATGTTGTGGGAGGGACCCAGGAGGAAGTTATTGAATCATGGGGGCCGGTCTTACCCGTATTATTCTCGTGATAGTGAATAAGTCTCATGAGATCTAATGGGTATATCAGGAGTCTCTGCTTTTGGTTCTTCCTCATTTTTCTCGTGCTGCTGCCATGTAAGAAGTGCCTTTCACCTCCCTCCATGATTCTGAGACCTCGTCAGCCATGCAGAACTGTAAGTCCAATTAAACCTCTTTTTCTTCTCAGTCTTGTGTACGTCTTTATCATCAACATGAAAACTGACTAATACACATCTGGTCATGGACTTTTTTGGTTGGCAGGCTATGTATTACTGATTTAATTTTGGAGCTCATTACTGGTCCATTCAGGGATTCAATTTCTTCCTGGTTCAGTCTTGGGAGGGTGTATGTGTCTAGGAATTTATCAGTTTCTTCTGTTTTCTAGTTTGTGGGCATAGAGGTGTTCACAATATTCTCTAATGGTTATTTGTATTTCTGTGTGGTCAATGGTAATATCCCCTTCATCATTTCTGCTCTGTTTCTTTGTATCCTCTCTCTTTTCTTCTTTATTTTTCCAGAGAGTTGTCTATTTTATTATTTTCTTCAAAAATCCACCTGGATTTGTTGATCTTTTTAATGGTTTTTCATGTCTCAATCTCCTTCAGTTCAGCTCTGATTTTGGTCATTTTTTATCTTCTGCTAGCTTTGGAGTTAGTTTGCTCTTGGTTCTTGTATTAGTCCATTTTCATGTTGCTGATAAAAACATACCAAAGACTGAGTAATTTATTAAGAAAAAGAGGTTTAATGGACCCACAGCTCCACATGGCTAGTTAAGCCTCACAGTCATGGTGGAAGGTGAAAAGCATCTTAAACAGTGGCAGACAAAAGAGAATGAGAGCCAAGCAAAGGGGAAACCCCTTATAAAACCATCAGACTAATAAATAGATCTAATGAGACTAATTCACTACTATGAGGACAGTAGTAGTGAATCACCTTCATTATTCAATTATCTCCAATGTGGTCCCTCCCATGATATGTGTGAATTATGGGAGCTATAATTCAAGATGAGATTTGGGTAGGGACACAGCTAAACCATATCATTCTGCCCTAGCCCCTCCCAAATCTCATGTCCTCACATTTCGAAACCAGTCATGTCTTCCCAACAGTCCCCTAAAGTCTTAACTCATTTCAATATTAATTCAAAAGTCCACAGTCCAAAGTCTCATCTGGGACAAGGCAAGTCCATTCCACCTATGAGCCTGTAAAATCAAAAGCAAGTTAGTTACTCACAAGATACAATGGGGTTACAAGCATTGGGTAAATATACCCACTGCAAATAGGAGAAATTGGCCACAATTTAACAGGCTACAGGCTCCATGCAATTCCAAAATCCAGTGAGGCAGCTAAATCTTAAAGCTCTGAAATGATCCCCTTTGACTTCATGTCTCACATCCAGGTCACATTGTTCCAAGAGGTGGATTCCCTTGGTCTTGGGCAGCTCTGTCCTTGTGGCTTTCCAAGGTATAGCCCTCCCTCCTGGCTGCTTTCACAGGCTGGAGTTGAGTGTCTGTGGCTTTTCCAGATGCATGGTGCAAGCTGTTGGTGGATCTATCATTCTGGGGTCTGGTGGATAGTGGCCCTCTTCTCACAGCTCCACTAGACAGTGCCCCTGTGGGGACTCTTTGTAGGGGCTCTGATCCCACATTTCCCTTCCACACTGCTCTAGCAATGGTATTCCATTAGGGTCCCTCCCCTGCAGCAAACTTCTGCCTGGACATCCAGGCAATTCTGTACATCCTCTGAAATCTAGACAAAGGTTCCCAAAACTCAAGTATTGACTTCTGTGGACCCACAGGCTCAACACCACATGGAAGATGCCAAGGCTTTGGACTTGCACCCTCTGAAGCCATGGCCCAAGCTATACCTTCACCCCTTGTAAGCCTAGAGCAACTGGGATGCCTAGAGCAACTGGGATGCAGGGCACTGAGTTCCTAGGCTGCAAACCACAGGGGGGCACTGCCCTGGTCCATGAAATCATTTTTTTTCTCCTAGGCCTCCAGGCCTGTGATGGAAGGTGCTGCCACAAAGGTCTCTGACATGCCCTGGAGACATTTTCTCCATTGTTTTAGTGATTAACATTTGGCTTCCCATTAGTTATACAAATTTCTGTAGCTGGTTTGAATTTCTCCTCATGAAATGTGTTTTTCTTTTCTATCACATTATCAGGGTGCAAATTTTGTGAACTTTTTTTTTTTTTTTTGAGACGGAGTCTTGTTCTGTCACCAGGCTGGCATACAGTGGCAATCTTGGCTCACTGAAACCTCCGACTCCTGGGTCAAGTGATTCTCCTGCCTCAGGCTCTTGAGTAGCTGGGATTATAGGTGCATGCCACCACACCCAGCTAATTTTTGTATTTTTAGTAGAGATGGGGTTTCACCATGTTGGCCAGGATGGTCTTGATCTCTTGAACTCATAATCTGCTCACCTCAGCCTCCCAAAGTGCTGGGATTATAGGCATGAGCCACTGTGCCTGACCCCAAAGTCAACTCTTGAATGCTTTGCTGCTTAGATATTTCTTCCACCAGATAACCTAAATCCTCTCCCTCAAGTTCAAAGTTCCACAAATCTCTAGGGCAAAGGCAAAATGCTGCCAGTCTCTTTGCTAAAACATAGCAAGAGTCACTTTTACTCCAGTTCCCAACAAGTACCTCATCTTCATCTGAGACCACCTCAGCCTGGATTTAATTGTCCATATCATTATCAGCATTTTGATCAAAGCCATTCAACAAGTCTCTAGGAAGTTCCAAACTTTTCTACATTTTCCTGTCTTCTTCTGAGCTCTCCAAACTGTTCCACCCTGTGCCTGTTTCCTAGTTCTAAATCACTTTCACATTTTCAGGTATCTTTACAGCAGCACCCACTCCTGGTACCAGTTTACTGTATTAGTCCATTTTCATGCTGCTGATAAAGACATAACTGAGACTGGGTAGTTTATAAAGAAAAACCATAGCTGGGGAGGCCCCACAATCATGATGGAAGGCAAAAGTTATGTCTTACATGGTGGCAGACAAGACAGAATGGGAGCCAAGTGAAAGGGGAAACCCCTTATAAAACCATCAAATATTGTGAGACTTATTCACTACCACAAGAACAGTATGCGGGAAACTGGCCCCATGATTCAGTTATCTCCCACAGGGTACCTCCTACAACACATGGAAATTATTGGAGCTACAATTCAAGATGAGATTTGGGAGGGGAGACAGCCAAATCAAATCAGTTCTATAGCTATTTTACTTGTGATTTTAGGTTGTTAAATTGAGATCTTTCTAACATTTTAATGTGGGCATTTAGTACTACAAGTTTCCCTTTTAACGCTGCCTTAGCTGTGTCCCATAGATTCTGGTATGTTGCATGTCTTGTCTCACTAGTTTCAGAGAACTTCTTGATTTCTTTCTTAATCTCATTATGTACTCAAAAGTCATTCAGGGACAGTTTATTGAATCCCAAGTAATTGTACGGTTTTGAGTGAATTTCTTAGTCTTGATTTCTACTTTTATTTTGCTGTGGTCTAAGAGAGTGGTTGTTATTTCAGTTCTTTTGCATTTGCTGAGGAGCATTTTGTCTGATTATGTGTTCTATTTTAGAGTATGTTCCCTGTGGTGAGGAGAAGAATGTATATTCTGCTGTTTTGCGGTGGAGAATTCTGTAGATGTCTATCAGGTTCATTTGAACCAGTGCTGAGTTCAAGTCCTAAATATCTTTGTTAATTTTCTGCCTTGATCTGTCTAGTACTGTCACTGGAATGTTGAAGTCTCCCACTACTGTGTGGGAGTCTAAGTCTTTGAAGGTTTCTACGAACTTGCTTTATAAACGTGGGTGCTCCTGTGTTGTATCCATATATATTTAAGATAGTTAGTTCTTCTTGTTGAGTTGAACCATTTACCATTATGTAACAGCCTTCTTTTTTTAAATTCTTGTTGGTTTAAAGTCTATTTTGTCTGAAATTAGGATTGCAACCCATGCTTTTTTCTGTTTTCCATTTGCTTGGTAGATTTTTTTTTCATACCTTTATTTTGAGCCTACACATGTCACTGCGTGTGAGATGGGTTTCTTGATGACAGCATACCAATGGATCTTGGTTCTTCATCCAGCCTGTCACTCCATGCCTTTTAATTAGGGGCATTTAGCACATTTAAATTCAAGGTTAGTATTGATATGTGTGGATTTGATACTGTCATCATGATGTTATTTGGTTATTATGCAGACTTGTGTGTTGCTTTAGTGTCACTGGTCTGTGTACTTAAATGTGTTCTTGTAGTGGCTGCTAATGGTTTTTCCTTTCTATATTGAGTGCTTTCTTCAGAACTGCTTATAAGGCAGGTCTGGTGGTAACAAATTCCCTCAGCATTGTATTGTCTGAAAACAATCTTATTTATCCTTTGCTTATGAAGCTTAGTTTGGCTGGATATGAAGTTAGTCATTGGAATTTCTTTTCTTTAAGAATGTTGAATACTGGCCCCCAGTCTCTTCTGGCTTGTAGGGTTTCTGCTGGCAGGTCTTCTGTTAGACTGATGGGCTTCCCTTTGTAGGTAAACTGACCTTTCTCTGTAGCTGCTTTTACCATTTTTTCTTTCATTTTGACCTTAGAGAATCTGATGATTATGTGTCTTCTGGATGGCCTCCTTAGGAAGGGTGTTATTGGGTTTTTCTGCATTTCCTTAATTAGAATGTTGGCCTCTCTAACTAAGTTGGAGAAGTTCTCTTGGATAATATACTGAAATGTATTTTCCAAATTGGTTTCATTCTCCCCATCTCCTTCAGGGACATCAATGAGTCATAGATTTGGTCTGTTTACATAATCATCTATTTCTTGGAGGTTTTGTTTGTTCCTTTTTATTCTTTTTTCTCTATTCTTGTCTGGCTGTCTTATTTTAGGAAGCCAGTCTTTAAGTTCTGAGATTCTTTTCTCAGTGTTCTCTGTTCTATTATTAATACTTGCATTATGAAATTCTTGTAATGTGTTCATCAGCTCTGTCGGATCAGTTACATTCTTTTTTTTGTCAGCTCCTGTATCATTTTTTCATGATTCTTGGCTTCCTTGGAATGTGTTCTGTATTAGTCTGCTCTCACACTGCTATAAAGATACTACATGAGACTAGGTAATTTATAAGGAAAAGAGGTTTAATTGACTTACAGTTTCACATGGCTAAGGAGGCCTCAGGAAACTTACAATCATGGCAGAAGGCAAAGCAGAAGCAAAGAACATCTTATATGGCAGCAGGAGAGAGAGAGCACACAGGGGAAACTGACACTTTTAAAACCATCAGATCTCATGAGAACTCCCACACTATCATGAGAACAGCATAGGGGAAACTGTCTCCATGTTCCAATCACCTCCCACCAGGTCCCTCTCTTGACACATGGGAATTGCAATTCAAGATGATATTTGAGTGGAGACACAGAGCCAAACCATATCAGGTTTCAACATACTTCTGGATCTCAATGTCTTCATTCCTATCTATATTCTGAATTCCATCTGTCATTTCAGACATCTCAGCCCAGTTCAGAACCCTTGCTAAAGAGGTAGTGTGGTCATTTAGAGGAAAGAATGCAGTCTGCTTTTTGAGTTTTCAGAGTTCTTGTACTGGCTCATTCTCATCTTTGTGGGCTGATGTTCCTTCTATCTTTGAAGTTGCTGTCCTTTGGATTTTTTTTTTCATTTTATCCTATTTGATGATCTTGAGAGTTTGATTGTGGTATAAGGTGGGTTCAGTTGACTGGCTTTGTTTCTGGAAGATTTTAGGGACCAAGATTCAGATCCCATCTCCTGGGCTGCATGCTTTAACTCTGAAGGACTTGTAACAGGCCCAACTTCCTTCTCCATCTCCTTGAGGTTAGGAACCCTCTGCACCAGTGGAGCCAAGGTGCTCCTGGACCACTGGCCACTACCCTCTGATGGGTGCCATCCAGCCAAAGTGTTTCATAGGGTGGTGGCAGCAGGATCTGTCCTCATTCACATGTGCCAGCCTCAGCAGTGGCAACACAGCAAGGTACATGCTCATCAGCTGTGGCAGGGTGCTAGCAGGTGCTGCGGTGCCTTCCTCCATGCCTGCATTCACAGCAGCAATGGAGATAGCATGGCTCTCATGGTCCCCACTGGTAACTTTGCACATAGTCACACTGGTGGTGGTGTTAGCACAGGGGCAGAGCAGTGGCAGATGCAGGCCTGTGTGTGCCCTCTCTGTGCATTAATGCAGTTGGGGGTGGCCACTCAGGGTGAGAGAGTGTCTGCTGTTCTCCAGTGCCTAGTTTCACCCTGGTGGCAGTGTTGGTACAGGGGTGGGGCACTGGTGGGCGTGAGGTGCTCGTGGGGGTGGGGCTGTCAGGCTCTGTGCCCACCAAGGCTCCAAGTGCAATGGCAGTACAGCAGGAAAGGAGGGACAGAGTGCATTTCCACTGGCAGCAGTGGCAAGGCAGGGTGCATGCACATACATGTGCTGGCAGGGCTGGGAAGGCAAAATTTGTGTGTGCACACACACCAGCAAAGTGATGTGGGGGTGGCCATGGGCCCCCAAGGAAGCTGCAGTTGGGGAGGGAGCAGGCAGGCTGGTGCATGACCCTGTAGGCTGGCTGCCCTGCTGGAGCTGTCTGCTGGTCAGGCATGGTCTGCCAGCCTAGGAGCTATGAATGGGCCCCCAGGGCACCTGAGGATGCAATGCAAGCAGGCATGGACAGGCTGGGGCCCTGGAAGAGGCCAGCACACCAAGGATTGCTCAGGTAGGACTGGCGTCGTCTGATGAGCAAGACTGCCCTGCAGAGCTTAGGTCTGACAGTCTCCCCAGGACTGAAGTCTGCTATGGGTGCAAGTGGAGCCTAGGGGGATGGGAATTCCTGCCCATGCTTTATTACAGATGCTCTCACACCAAACCCTTGGGGCTCTGCATTGGCTGATGTGCTACCCCTAAGACTTCTCTAAGCAGCTTTCCCTGCCAACTCAAGTGTCCATGGTGGTCAAGGGGTGTCCTCTTTCCAGGATTCCAGAGTTCTATAATGAGAGCAGGTTGCTCCTTGCCAGTTCAACTCACCTATTCCGCCAGAGTCTGTGGGGGCCAGGTAGGAGTCTCGGTGCAAGATAGCCTCTTGCAGGGTTCCCAGCTTCCTCCCCTTCAGCCCAGCTTCTGTGTCTTCCCTCCCTGCACTCTCAGTGCCTTCCCTCTGCAGATCTGTTAGGAGTGCACCAGTAGTCCCAGTCCCTTAGTGGCAGCTGTTCCACCTGGCTGCCTCTAGTTGGCCATGTTGTTCCAGTGTATGTCATATTTTTTATACACAATACTTATTATTATTATTATTATTATTATTTTTGAGATGGAGTCTTGCACTGTCGCCCAGGCTGGAGTGCAGTGGTGCAATCTCAGCTCACTGCAAGCTCCACCTCCTGGGTTCATACCATTCTCCTGCCTCAGTCTCCTGAGTAGCTGGGACTACGGGCACCTGCCACCACACCCGGCTAATTTTTTGTACTTTCAGTAGAGACGGGGTTTCACTGTGTTAGCCAGGATAGTCTTGATCTCCTGACCTCGTGATCCGCCCGCCTCAGTCTCCCAAAGTGCTGGGATTACAGGCATGAGCCACTGCGCCCGGCCTATACACAATATTTATTTCATTAAACATTTAGCTGGAAGTTTAGCAAGTGGTCAGGAATGCGGGGTTTTTTTTTCTTTTTTTCTTTCTTTCTTTCTTCTAACTTTTATTTTTGGTTCAAGGGTCCAGGTTTGTTTTATAGGTAAGTTGTGTGTCATGGGGATTTGGTGTACAGATTGTTTCATCACCCAGATAATAAGCATAATACCTGATAGGTAGTTTTTTTGTGTTTGTTTGATTGTTTGTTTGTTTGTTTGTTTTGAGATGGAGTCTCACTCTGTTACCCAGGCTGGAGTGCAGTGGCACAATCTTGGCTCACTGCAACCTCCACCTCCCGGGTTCAAGTGATTCTCTGCCTCAGCCTCCAAGTAGCTGGGACTACAGGCATCTGTCACCATACCCGACTAATTTTTTTTTTATTATTTTTAGTAGAGATGGGGTTTCACTATGTTGGCCAGGCTGTTCTCGAACTCCTGACCTCATGATCTGCCCACCTTGGCCTCCCAAAGTGCTAGATTACAGGCGTGAGCCACCATGCCCAGCAGTAGTTTTTAGATTCCCTCTCTCCTCCTACCCTCCACCCTCAAGCAGGCACCAGTGTCCGTTGTTCCCTTCTTTGTGTCCATGTGTACTCAATGTTTAGCTCCCACTTACAAGTGACAACATGCGGGCTGGGAGTGGTGACTCATGCCTGTAATCCCAGCACTTTGGGAGGCCGAGGTGGTTGGATCACCTGAGGTCAGGAGTTCAAGACCAGCCTGGCCAACATAGTGAAAACCGATCTCTGCTAAAAATACAAAAATTAGCTGGGCATGGTGGTGCATGCCTGTAATCCTGGCTACTCAGGAGGCTGAGTCAGGAGAATCACTTGAACACAGGACGCGGAGGTTGCAGTGAGCCAAGATCATGTCATTGCACTCCAGCGTGGGTGACAAGAGGGAAACTCCATCTCAAAAAAAAAAAGAAAAAAAAAAGTGAGAACATGCAGTATTTGGTTTTCTGTTCCTGCCTTAGTTCACTTAGGATTATGGCCTCTAGCTCCATCCATGTTTCTGCAAATGGCACGATCTTGTTCTTTTTTATGGCTCCTTGGCATAGAATCTGGGTTTTAGAATAAGAGACCTGATTCAAATGCCTGTTCTTTTTCTTATAAGCTGTTTGATCTTGAGCAGGATATTAAACCACTCTGTGCCTTATCTTTCATTCTATGAATGAAGCACAATAATGCCTAACTCATTTGATCACTGGGAGGATTAAACTAGTGCAATTGTCAATAGTGACAAGTTTATTATAAGCAGTAAAAGTGGCATATATTATTATTGTTATTCTTGCTGATAATATTGCAGTATTGATGACTGTATTAACATACTTCTAATATTGAGAGACAATATAGCTGTGGGGTTCAGAACACAGTGTCACGGTGTCTGAAGAGTCATTGCATAAGCTCAAATCCTGCTTCTTCTATTTATTAGCTGAATGACCATAGGTAATTATTCACTTTTCCTCTGCTTTTATTCCCCCAACCATAAAATAAGAAGACTAATAGTTACTACCTCAAAAGGATGCTACAGGGATCAAATGAGTTAATAGAAAGCTTTGAAACAATAAAAATATCTGTATCAGTCAAAATTACACAGTTAAAAATTTACAAGGGAAAAGATTACTTAAAATCCCGTTATCTAGTATAGCCATTACGTTATTTTTCTTTCTGAAACTTCCATGACAAAAAAAATATCTATTTTGTGCAACATTGTATCCCCATAAATCCCATAGTGTGTAAATGAATGAATGGATGGTGTGGATAAATGGATGCATCCATGGATCAATAGATCGATGACTGCATAGATGGATGGGTAAATGGATAGATACCAGGCAGAATGAATGAATTTAACATAAGCCCTCATCTTCCTAGCAGTCTATTAATGATACCTTTTCTTGCTATTTCTGTACTTCTATAATATAGTAAAAATCAATGTTCAACAATATAAGATCTTGAAGTACCTTCTAAATCATTACAAAATGGTTATTCATGTGTGGTATACGTGGCAATTCTCCATCTCCAAAGCATTTTTTAAACAGAAATCTCTATTCTTTGTTTAGATCAGATATTTTCCATACTAAAGAGAGTAAATCCCAATGCATGATATTGATGACCCTCCACATGTGTATACCCAAAAAAGAGCAGAAGAATTGCTTAGTTGTTTTGGATTTGCTTTATACTACTCTATTTTAGAAGCATATGTTTTCTTTAGACTGTCACCATTAGTACAGATTGCTAAAAGACTTTTGCCTTCTTCACTAGACCAATTATGTAACTTCTTCACTATGTACTTTTCCACTAGTCCATGTTAGTCCTTCCTGTTGTCATAGAATTCAATAAATGGTTCAAAATAGGATGAAACAACATAAGACATGGAAGAAAACAAAATTTGATTGTGAAAAATTAAGAGTTACTGGGATTTTATTATGGGGTCCTACATAAATCAGCATACAAAAATTTTCATTTTTTCCAACCTGTTTATAGGGTAGTATTGTAAGATATGTGACTTATTTTTTTATGGATCTTCTGTCATTTGGGTTACTTAATATAGGTAAAAATTCAGCAATAAGTATGAATTTCTCCAAAAGTTTCAAAGATTATGCATATGCTTTATGCAGTACTTGGCACAGTTTGGGTGATAATGAATCTTTATGTCTCTGCAACAATTTAAAGAATTGACTGAATTTAGCATGCAGGGTAGGATGCTTAATAATGTTTAATAATATAAAAAAGCCAGAAAAATTAGCTAGTTGTCTAAATGTTATATTTCACTAGTTTGCCAGGCCAGGAGTTTGTAATCTAGCATATGCACACCCTGCAGAGTCTGTAGATGGAAAAAAAAGGGTCCAAAATATTATCTAAAATTGTATATTGTTTGTGCATGTCCACATTTCACTATGTAGAGTATATGAAATTCTTGGCCCAGGTACCTGAATCAAAAATTTAGGAATGTCTCTGTATAATTTTTTCAAATTGTTTGTATGCTTTAAATTTTTATAATAAAATGATAGAAAATAAAAAATTAGAATCTGCAGATGATGATGATTATTATTGATATATAAAAATCATTATTTAACAATCAGGAGGAGTTGGTCCTATGAATTAAAAGTAAAGTGTATGCCAGTATGTACCTTTTATGCATCTAAAGTTATTGTTCAGCTAAAATTAAATCAGTATCCGTTATTAAATTATCTTTGCTATGTAATATGAAGGCATATACATATTATGTATATATAATCTGAATATTCAGGTGAGAAATAAATAGTAACTTCCTTAATTTTTTAAGGTACTTCCTCGTACAGTGAATAGATATATTTAGCATCCTTCTAAATTTTCCTATGGCAAATCATCTTTTACCACTATAGCAGTCAACTATCTTTAGATTATTTTGGATTTTTCTTAAGAATAGAAAGAAAAAAAACCCTAGGCATAATCTCTTTCTTAGCCCAGTAGCTGAGTCATATATATTTTTAAATCATGTAACAAAAGTTGTCAAAAATAGAAGGAAGTGAGGAATATATGTTCCTTCAAGTGGAATCAGTTTGAAAGTTTAAGTGATTTGTTCACTGATGAACAGTGTTTGGCAAATTATGTGGTATAACCCATTTGGGAACTTATATTATGTGGAATTATACAACTTAAGTTATATAGTCTTAGAGTCGAAAAGCTGCTTGGAAGTCATTTTGTCCAACCTTCACATTTTAAAGCCTCCCTATAAGATATGTTAACAGGAATGCTTCAGCTTGTGTACATCCAATGATAACAAATTCACTGCTGCATACAGCAACACCTTTCATTTTTGAAAAACTTTAATTAAAACTTCTTTCTAATTTTGTGCCACAACATAATGCGTATTAGTTTTTGTGTTTTATTTTTATTTTTGTTTTAGAAGCAGCATTTGATATTCTCATAAGAATGTATTGTGTCAACCAAAGTCTTCATAAAAATTTATTGTAACTGCTGCAAAATGTTTAAGTATTACTTTCATACAGAACAATTCACAACCCATAAATATACAGCTCAGTGAATTTTTCAAAAGTAAACTTAGTTATATAACCCTCAACTAGTTCAAAAAAGAGATCATCGGCACTTCAGCCAGAAATTCATTTTATGTCTATTCCTAATAGGTGCCCCTTAAAGTGCACCACTGTCCTAACTTCTATCATTGGTAGAAAAATACTGATTAGTATTGCAGGTTTTGAACTTCATATAAATAGAGCCAAACTCTTCAGTGTCTAGCTTTTCTCCCTAATATACTATGTTTGTGAGATTCACCTATTTTTCTTGATGTATAATATTCTATTTTATAAATAGCTCATAATAAACATTATGGTTTGTTTCTAGGTTTGAACCTCTAAAGATGGTTCTCTGAACATTCTTGCATATGTCATTTAATGCACAAGTATACACATTTCCATTAGGTATATGCTTTAGTAGATACTGTCAAACAGTTTTCTAAAGTGGTGGGACAAATTTTCACTCCCCAACAGCAATGTGTAAGAATTTGAGTTGCACCATATCCTTGCAAACACTTGATATTGTCAATATTTTTGCTTGTCACTCTGGTCGTTTTACAGTGGTATCCTTTGTCTCTCATTTGAGTTTTCCTAATGTCTAATAAATTTGAGCACCTTTTTTTTTTTTTTGGCCATTTGGATCTTTTGCTTTTTTAAAGTGAAGTTCAAGTCAGGCAGATGGACACAAATATATGTGATATGCGTCCTCTTTCACAAAGACATGTGTACATGTCTATATGTGATTATTTCTCCAATTATGTGACTTGTCTTTCCAATCTGAATGGTGTTTTTTGATGAATAGAACTTATTTTAAATGGAGTCCACTTGCTAGTTCTTTATGTAAATCCTTTAAAATTTTTCTTTCACATTTAGATCTATAGTCCATGTGGAATTAATCTGTAGGTATGATATGAAGTAGGAGAATCAAGATATATTATTGTTGCATAAGGATATCCAATTTATCCAACAGCATTTAATGAAAAGATTACTCTTTTTCAATATACTGTGGTGTCACCTTTATAATAAAATTAATGACCATATGTGTGGAGATCTGTTTTTGTAGACTATAATCTACAGTCTGAACAACTGGTTTATTTTATTATTTTATGCTAGGATTATATTTTTCATTACTGAGATTTTATTATAAGCCTTAACATCCTGCAAAGTAAATTCCAGGTTCATTATCCTTCCCAATTTTCTTGGCCCTTTGCAATTCCATTTAAATTTTAGAATCAGCTTAATTTCTCCCAAAAACACTGCTAGGATTTTATTTAGAATACATTGAGCCTATAGAATATTTGAAGAGAATTTGAAAATAATTGACATTTTTACATTATTGACCTTTCCAGTTGGTAAACATTGTGTAGCCCTTCATATTCTAGCTTTTTAAAATTTATCTCAATAATATTTGGTAGATTGCATTGAGCGGCCCTTGCACATCTATCATTAGATTAATTCTCTGGTATTTTATTTGTTATGCTAGTATAAATAGTGTCCTTTGAAACATATCATTTTCAAAGTTTCCTTTTGTTTCTATATAGAAATACAATTGATTTTTCCATACTGATTTTGAATCTAATGATCTTACTAAGTTTATTAATTATAGTTTATTTACAGTTTATTTTGCATTTTATGTGTACAATATCATGTCTTTTGTGAATAATTATAGTTCATTTCCCAATTTCTCATCTGTATATCTTTTGTGTTATTTTACTGCTTTATTGCACTGGCAAAAAGTTATAATGCAATATTCAATAGTAGTTCCTATAAATAGCATCCTTGTTTAAGTTCTCACCTGGTAAAAAGATTTTAGTATTTTATCATTAAGTATAGCATTTAATTCTGAATAAACTGGATATCCACATGCAAAATAATTAAGTTGTTCCCACCTCCCACCATATATAAAAATTAACCTAAAATGGAATAAAAGATGTAAATGTAGGAGCTAAAACTATAAAACTTATAGACAGAAATATAGGCATAAATCTTCACAAGTTTGGAGTAGACAATACTTACTTATCTAGGTCTCCAAAATTACAAGTGATTAAGAAAATGAACTTCATCAGAATTAAAAACCTTTGTGCTGCAAAGGACATTATCAAGAAAGTTAAAAGACCACCTACAGAAAATGATAAAATATTTGTTAATAATATATTTGATAAAGGACTCATAAATAGAATCTATACTGTTTAAAACTCATCAGAATAAAAAATCAAATAACCCAGTTCGAAAATGGGCAGAAGCTTTTTTTTTCCCAAGATGTTGGATTGGAGACTTTGTTAGCATGCCTCTCTCACTTGGGAAGACAAAATAGTGTATAGAGATTCATGTTGTGAACTTTTTTCCAAGAAGCAACACAGGAACTTAACAGGAAAAGTGAAAGAAACCACAGACCCTTTGAAAAAAAGTGACAGAGACTATACCATAAATCAGGTGGAAAACTGTGAGTCTCCAGAGTGTGAGATGGGGAGAGACTGTCTCTGTAATATACCATCCCACTGGGAAACCTTAGCAATCCAGGACATTGGGGAATCCCTTAACCCTACCTAGAACCAGAGCTGATGTAGTGACCAGTGAGGAGTACAGGAGGAGCAGCATCAGGGTGTGCTTTGCATGCACTCCCAGACTCCAGCAGAGAAGAAGGGAAGCGATTCCTGATCCTGTCTCACAAGGGACCTCATGGAACTCAGCCAGCTAACTCAGGTGGCATTCACAAGTTGAGAGAAGCTCCCAAATGAGATTTGTGATATAATCTTGAGTGGGAACAAGGGCCAGTGGGTTCTGGCCCTTTGGCCAGAACCAAGGGGCAAGTGGGAATTATGCTGTAGCCGCAGCTGCAGAAGCTGGGCATCCCTGCTTTGCAGGCAAACCAGGAGTGGCATGGCCTGAAAGCTGTGGCTTCTGTCTTAGTAGGGAAGGCTTGTGGCCTGGGGCAGTTTTGAGTTCTGAGTGTAGGCTGCCTGGAACCCAGCTAGCTGCTGGAACACTGTGGGTGTAAAACCTGCCTTGCCAAGTACATGGGAGCTGGGTGGGGCTTACTGCTGCCTGCTACACCCACTTCCCTGTGCAGGTTCTTTTGTACAGCAGATGTAGCTGCACTTCTCCCTGGAACATTACCCCAGTAGCCAGAGAAATGCCCTCCCATCCCCACTGGAGCTGCTGCTTGTACCCACACATGGGAAGCCAAACCACAGACTTACCTGACCTAGCCCCAACCTGGCTTTGTCCCTCCACCTGCCCTGGTAGTTTATCACAAAGGATGTGGACTTTGGGTAACCCCAATGCCCTACCCATTGCCTGAGAAATCAGAGTACCTTCTCTGGCAAGGACATAAGGCAAGCACAAATCCTACCACTACCAGTGCAGCTGGTGCTTTTTTGCAAGTACCAGCTCCTGGCTGGAGGCCAGCCAACACAATCCAGTATAGCATCTGCAGGCAGAATAACACAAAGCCCAAGAAGGAGAAAACTTTTGCATGACCTCGGCTATCACCATTGCCTGCATCACCCTGGCTAACCAGAAGGTCATGAGTCTGTCCATGTGACCAATACATTACTACTACAGCTGGCAGTTGAGAAAGCCAACACTCTAAGGCTATTTATAACCAAGGAAATCTCACAGAGTCTACATCAGTCCCCTGCTACCCCCATCAAGAGTGCACGCTGGTACCCACTGCTAGAAGACTACCAGACAGGTCAGATCACTAGGTTCCTTGCATACATTCCCCAGTACCAGTCTGAAGCATGGCAGCCCCACTAGGCAGTTAGACCCAGAGGAGCAGAAGGATTTGTAGTTCTCTGGCCCTCAGGGACTCCTACTCCAAGGGAAAGAGAAGGTGCATCACATCAAGGGAGCACCTTGTAGGACAAAAGAATCTAGATTGCAGGCCTTGAGTCCCAGAACTTTTAGTTTATGAGAAGTTTCTTTCAGCAGAGGCACAGGTGCAATGCTTGGCTCAGTGGGGAAAGTCTGCAGCTCTACCCCAACAGTCAGGCAGCCCTGGGGCTCATGAAGAGTCTTGGAGGAGGGGGCTTCTTCTCCAACTCATCTACCACTACAGATTTAGCTGGGTCTTCTCCCATGGGAGCTCAGCATAGGTGCATTTGCAACAGTCTCTCTGGAACACTTCAAGGTGACTGCATCCCCACAGGAGGAGTGCCCTCCAGGTTCAGGCTTGCATGAAGGACAGCCACAATCTCTCTCTACATGGAACAATAGCATTCCTGCAGATGAAAAGAGGTATCTGTCTTATCTGAATATCTGGAACACTGGATCAGGAGTGGGACTGGGAGGTGGATTGCATTCCTGATGGCCGGGTAAGAGAGCTGAAGTTGCTCTCTCTTTTCCCCCTAAAAAGATCTTAGTGTGTTTCACTGAGAGCTCCCCCAGCTATCTTTGTCAAGGCTGGAACCTCTGCCCACCATTGGGCATTGCATTTATCCACCTGATTTAGCTGCAGCTAGTTTTTATCTGTGGACACCTCCTTTGGACTGAAGCCTGAACTGTTCAACCAAGTGAATAAAATATTGGGGGGAAAATAATTTAAAAAGTGAATACCACTGGGGAATGAGATAAGCTTCATGAAACCTTTGCCATTCTGGCCCGACAGGAGACAGTGAACACACTGAGTACGTCACTACTGCAATCAGAATCTGAGAAAACCATCACACAAAGACTCTATAACCAAAGAACTCATACAGAGTCTGTACCACTGAAATCACCCAGAGCTGAATTAGGTTTCAATAAACTACAAACATTAAAGTCAAATCCTTAAGGGGAAAAATAAAAAATAAAAAAGAGCACAGTCAACTCAAAAATAAATTCAACTTCCTGAAGTCCATAGTATCATTCTTATGCCTTTGCACCCTCATAGCTTAGCTCCAACTTGTGGATGAGAACATAGAATGTTTGCTTTTCCATTTCTGAGTTACTTCACTTCAGAATAATGATCTCCAGTTCCATCCAGGTTGCTGAAAATGCCATTATTTTGTTCCTTTTTATGGCTGAATAGTACTCCATGGTGTGTGTGTGTGTATATATGTATATGTATGTATATATGATGTGTATATATACGTATATATGTGTGTATATATGTATACGTGTGTGTATATATGTATATATGTGTCTATATATGTATATATATGTATATGTATATATTGAGAGAGAGATAGAGAAGTTGTGATTATACATATCAGCCAGAAATTCATATATATATATCACAGTGTCTCTCTCCACTCATTGATTGATGGGCATTTGGGCTGGTTCCACATTTTGCAATTGCAATTTGTACTGCTATAAACATGTGAGTACAAGCATCTTTTTCATATAGTGACTTCTTTTCCTCTGGGTAGACACCTAGTAGTGAGATGGCTGCATCACATGGTAGTTCTATTTTTAGTACTTTAAGGAATCTCCACACTGTGTTCAATAGTGGATGTACTAGTTAAAGGGTGGAAGAGGGGTAAGAGATAAAATACTACAAATTCAGTACAATGTATACTACTTGGGTGATGGGTACACCAAAATCTCACAAAGCACCACTAAAGAACTTACTCATGTAAACAAACACCACTTGTTCTTCAAAAACCTATGGAAATAAAAAATAAATAATATATTAAAATAAATAAGTAAATTAAAAAAAAATTAGAAGAAATAGTCTACCTGAATAAGACGGAACCAAAAAATGATTCTGGCAATATGACAAAACATGGTTCTATAATAGACCCTGAAATTACACTAACTGTCTAGCAATGAATTCAAACCAAGATGAAATCTTCAAAATACCAGATAAAGAATTCAAAAAGATGATTAACAAGTTACTCAAGGAGATACAAGAGAAAGGTGAAAACTAACATAAAGAAATTTTAAAAATAATTCAGTATGTGATTGAAAAAAATATAAATAGAGATTTTTAAATACAAAACAATCATAACTTTCGGAAACAAAAGACACACTTAGGGAATTAGAAAATGCAGTGGAAAGTTTTAATAATAGACTAGACCAAGTAGAAGAGAGAATTTCAGAGCTCAAAGACAAAAGCCTTCAAATTAACCCAATCAGACAAAAATAAAGAACAAAGAATTAAAAGAAGTGAATACTGTCTCCAAGAAACATCAGATTATGTAAAATGGCAAAACCTAGGAATCACTGGTGTTCTGAAGGGAGAAGAAAAAATAAAAAAAAGTTTGGAAAACTTTCGTGGTTTTGTTTGTGATTTAGACATCAAAATATGAAAAGCTCAAAGAACTCTTGGGAAATTCACTGCAAAAAGGACATCACCAAGGTATACAGTCATCAGGCTATCTAAAGTTAATGTGAAGGAAAGAATTATAATAGTAGTGAGAAAAAACCATCAGGTAACCTGTAAAAGAAAACCTATCAGACTAACAGCAGACTTCTCAGCAGAAGCCTTATAAGCCGGAAGGGACTGCGGTTCTAAATTTAGTCTCCTTCAACAGAATAACTGTCAGCCCAAAATTTTATAACCAGCAAAACTGAGTTTTATAAATGAAGGATAAATAAAGTCTTTCTCAGACAAGCATATGCTGGGGGAATTTGTCACTACAAGAACAACCCCACGAAAAAAAATGCTGAAAGGAGTTTTATCCCTTGAAACAAAAGATTGGTATGCACCAGAACAGAAACTCTTAAGAGCATAAAATTCACAGATCCTATAAAAGAATAACACAGTGAAGAAAAGAAAAAGTAGGTAACAATCATCAAAATGACAGGAACATAAAATCTCACATCTTACTATTAATGACCTTATTTATCCTTTTTTAATGTTATTGCTTTAAGGATAGATGGTGACTCCTAGGTTTTGGCCATTTTACATAATCCCATATTTCTTGGAGACATTGTTAATTCTTTTAATTATTTTTTATTTATTTTTATCTGATTTGGTTAATTTGAAAGCCTCTGTCTTTGAGTTCTGAAATGCTCTCTTCTATTCGGTCTAGTCTATTATTAAAACTTTCCACATCTCAATATTAGCATTGCATGTAAATAGTCTAAATGTTCCACTTAAATGGCAGAATGGATAAAAAATTACAAGCCAAATATGTTGTCTTCAAGAGGCACATAAGGATTGTTATAGACTCAATATAAAAGGGTGGAAAATATATTCCATGCAAACAGAAACCTAAAGCAAGCAGGCATAGCTAATCTTACGTCAGATAAAACAGACCTTAAAGCAACAACAGTAGAAAAAGACAAAGAAGGTCATTATATAATGATACAAAGATCAATTCAGCAAGAAGATACAACAACCGTAAATATATATGCACCTAAATCTGGAGCTCTCAGATTCATAAAACGATTATAACTAGACATAAGAAAAGAGGTAGACAGCAACACAATAATAGTGGGGTCTTCAACACTCTATTGACAGATAGACAGGTCTTCCAGGGAGAGAGTCAACTGAGAGACACTGCACCTAAACTGCACTCTAGAGAAAGTGGACCTAACAGATATTTACAGAACATTTTACCCAAGAACTGTATTATATGCATTCATCTCATTAGCAAATGAAACATTCTCCAAGCTACACCATATTATAAGCCACAGGACAAGTCTCATAGAGATTTTAAAGAAAAAATTAACATCACTTAGAGATTTTTTTCAGGGGTACATGTGCAGGTTTGTTACATAGGTAAACTTGCATCATGAGGGTTTGTTGTACAGATCATTTCATCACCTAAGTATTAAGCCTACTACCCATTCGTTATTTTTCCTGATTATCTGCCTTCTTCCACCCTCCACCATCTAAAAGGCCCCAGTGTGTGTTGTTGCCCACTATGTGTGTCCCTGTGTTCTTATCATTTAGCTCTGACTTGTAAGTAAGAACATGCAGTATTTGGTTTTCTGTTCCTATGTTAATTTGCTAAGGATAATGGCTTCAACCTCTATTCATCTTCCTGCAAAGGAATAAATCTTGTTCTTTTTTATAGGTGCATAGCATTCCATGGTGAATATGTATCACATTTTCTTTATCCAGTCTAACATTCATGGGAATTTAGGTTGATTCCATGTCTTTGCTACTGTGAATAGTGCTGCAATGAACAAACACATGCTTGTGTCTCTATAACAGACTGGTTTATATTTCTTTGGGTATATACTCCATAATGGGATTGCTGAGTCAAATGGTATTTTCATCTTTAGGTCTTCAAAGAATCACCCCACAATGTTTTCCACAATTACCAAACTAATTTACATTGCTACCAACAGTGTACAAGCATTCTTTTTTCTCCACAACCTTGCCAGCATTCATTATTTTTTGACATTCTGATAATAACCATTCTGACTGGTGTGAGATGGTATCTCATTATGGTTTCGATTTGCATTTCTTGAATGATCGGTGATGCTGAGTTTTTTCATATAATTGCTGGCCATATGTATGTCTTCTTTTGAAAAGTGTCTGTTCATGTCCTTTGCCCACTTTTTGATGAGGGTGTTTTTATTTTGTAAGTTTAAGTTCCTTTTAGATGCTAGATATTAGACCTTTGTCCAATGCATATTTTGCAAAAATTTTCTCTCATTCTGTAGGTTGTCTGTTTACTCTGTTGAGAGTTTCTTTTGCTGTGCAGAAACTCTTTGGCTTAATTAGATCCCACGTGTCAATTTTTGCATTTTTTGCAATCGCTTTTGGCAACTTTGTCATGAAATCTTTGCTTATGCTTATGTCCGGAATAGTATTGTCTAGGTTGTCTTGCAGGATTTTTATAATTCTGGGTTTACGTTTAAGTCTTTAATCCACCTTGAGTTAATTTTTGTATATGGAAATGGTCCAGTTTTAATCTTCTGCATATGGCTAGCCAGTTATCCCATAACCATTTATTTAATAGGGAATCCTTTCCCCATTTATTTTTGTTAAGTTTTTTGAAAATTAGTTGTAGGTGTACAGTCTTATTTCTGAATTCTCTACTCTGTTCCATTGGTCTATATGCATTTCTTTGTGCCACTATCATGCTGTTTTGGTTACTGTATCCCTGAAGTATAGTTTTAAGTTGAGTAGTGCGATGCCTCTAGCTTTGTTTTTTTTTGTTTGTTTGTTTATTTGTTTGTTTGTTTGCTTATGATTGCCTTGGCTATTTGGGCTCTTTTTTGGTTCCATATGAATTTTAAAATTGTTTTCTCTAGTTCTGTAAAGAATTTCAGTGGGAGTTTAATATGAATAGCAGTAAATCTATAAATTGCTTTGGGGAACATGGCCATTTTAATGATAGTAATACTTCTATCCATGAGCGTGGGATGTTTTTCCATTTGTTTGTGTCATCTCTGATTTATTTGAGCAGTGGCTTGTAGTTCTCCTTGTAGAGGCCTTTTACCTCCCTAGTCAGCTGTATTCCTAGGTATTTTATTCTTTTTGTGGCAGTTGTGAATGGGAGTTCATTCCTGATTTGGCTCTTGGTTTGACTGTTGTCAATGTATAGGAATGCTAGTGATTTCTGCACATTGATTTGGTATGCTGAGACTTTTCTGAAGTTGTTTATTAGCTTAAGAAGCCTTTGTGCTGATACTATGGGATTTTGTAGATATAAGATTATGTTATCTGCAAACAGTGATAGTTTGACTTCCCCTTTTCCTATTTTGATGCCCTTTATTTCTCCCTCTTGCCTGATTTCTCTGGCTGGGACTTCCAATACTGTGTTGAATATGGGTGGTGAGAGAGAACATTCTTGACTTCTGCTGGTTTTCAAGGGGAATGCTTCCAGCTTTTGCCCATTCAGTATGATGTTGGCTGTAAGTTTTTCGTATATGGCTCCTATTATTTTGAGATGTGTTCCTTTAATACCTAGTTTGTAGAGAGTTTTTAACAGAAATCAATGTTGAATTTTACCAAAAGCTTTTTCTGCATCTATTGAGATCATTATGTGGTTTTTGTCTTTGGTTCTGTGTATGTGATAAATCACATTTATTGATTATTTGTAGGTGTTGAACCAGTCTTGCATCCCAGGGATAAAGCATACTTGATCATGGTGGATAAGCTTTTTGATGTGCCACTGGATTTGGTTTGCCAGGGTTTTGTTGAGCACTTTGCATAAATATTCATCAAGGATATTGGACCAAAGTCTTCTTTTTTGTGGTATCTCTGCCAGGTTTTGATATCAGGATGATTCTGGCTTCATAGAATGAGTTAAGGAGGAGTCCTTTCTCAATTTTTGGAACAGTTTCAGTAGAAATGGTACCAACTCTTCCTTACACATCTGGTAGATTTCAGCTGTAAATCCATCTCCTCTTGGGCTTTTTATTTCATTTTTTGGTTGGTGGGCTATTTATTACTGCCTAATTTCAGAGCTGATTATTGGCTCTGGGACTCAATTTCTTCCTGGTTCAGTCTTGGAAGGGTGTATGTGTCCAGGAATTTATCCATTTCTTCTAGATTTTCTAGTTTATGTGCATAGAGGTATTTGCAATATTCTCTAATGGTTGTTTGTATTTCTGTAGTGTCAGTGGTAATGTCCCCCTTGTAATTTCCAATTTTGTTTATTTAGAGCTTCTCTCTTTTCTTTTTTATTAGTCTAGCTAGTGGTCTGTTTTCTTTATTTAAAAAAAAACAGCTCTTGGATTTCCTGACCTTTTAAATGATTTTATGTCTCAATCTCCTTCAGTTCAGCTCTGATTGTGGTTATTTCTTGTCTTTTGCTAGCTTTCGGGTTGGTTTGCTCTTGGTTCTCTTGTTCTAGTTGTGATGTTAGCTTGTTAAGTTGAAATCATTTTAACTTTTTGATATGGGCATTTAGTGCTATAAATTTTCCTCTTAACACTGCCTTAGATTTGTCCTAGAATTGCTGGTATGTTATATCTTCGTTCTCGTTAGTTTCAAGGAACTTTTTGATTTTGGCCTTACTTTTATCATTTACCCAAGAGTTACTCAGGAGTAGGTTATTTAATTTCCATGTAATTGTATCACTTTGAGTGATTTTCTTAGTCTTGATTTCTAATTTTATTGCACTGTTGTCCAAAAGATTGTTTGTTGATATTTCAATTCTTTTGCATTTGCTAAGGAGTGTTTTGCTCCTGATTATGATATTGATTTTAAATATGTGCCATGTGTTGACAAGAAGAATGTAAATTCTGTTGATTTTGTGTGGCGACTTCTGTAGCTAATTATCAGGTCTATTTGATCTAGTGCTGAGTTCAGGTCCTGAATATCTTTGTTATTTTTCTGCCTTGATGATCTGTCCAGTGCTATCAGTGGAGTGTTGAAGTCTCCCACTATTATTATGTGAGAGTCTAAGTCTCTCTGAAGATCTCTATAAACTTGCTTTGTGAAGCTGGGTGCTCCTGTGTTGGGTGCATATTTATTTAGAATAATTAGACTTTCTTATTGAATTGAAACCTTTTTCTTTTTTGATCTTTGCTGGTTTAAAGTCTCTTTTGTCAAAACTAGGATCGCAATTAATGCTTTTTTGTTTGTTTGTTTTCCACTTATTTGTATTTTTTTTTTACCATCCCTTTATTTTAAGTCTATGTTTGTCACTGCATGTGAGATGAGTCTCTTGAAAACAGCATACTAATGGGTCTTGGTTATTTATACAGCTTCCCACTATGTGTCTTTTAATTAGGGCATTTAGCCAATTTACATTTAAAGTTACTATTGATATGTGTGGATTTGAGTCTGTCATCATGATGTTAGCTAGGTATTTTGCAGCACTATGATAAACCACACTGTTTACGTACACAATGGTCTGTGTACTTCATTGTGCTTTTGTAGTGACTGGTAATGGCCTTTCCTTTCCATATTTAGTGCTTCCTTCAGGAGTTCTTTTAAGGGAGTTCTGATGGTAACAAATTTCTTCAGCATTTGCTTGCCTGAAAAGGATCTTCTTTCTCCTTCACTTATAAAGTTTAGTTTGAATGGATAAGAAATTATTTGTTAAAATTTCCTTTTGAATATTGGTCCCTAATTTCTTCTGGCTTGTAGGGTTTTATCCAAGAGGTTCATTGTGAGTCTGATGGGCTTCCCTTTGTAGGTGACCTGGCCTTTCTTTCTGTCTGCCTTTAACATTTTTTATTTCACTTTGACCTTGGATAATCTGAGCATTACATGTCTTGGGGATGATTTTGTGGAGTGTCTTACTGGGGCTCTCTGCATTTCCTGAATTTGAATATTGGCTTTTCTAACTAGGTTGAAGAAGTTCTCATGGAAGATATTCTGCAATATGTTTTCCAAGTTGGTTCCATTATCCCTATCTCTTTCAGGCACACCAGTCAGTCGCAGATTAAGTCTCTTTACATAATCCCATATTTCTCAGAGGTTCTGTTCATTCCTTTTGATTCTTTTTTCTCTGTTCTTCTCTGTCTATGTCATTTCAGCAAGCCAGTTTTCAAGCTCTGAGATTCTTTCTCCATTTGGTCTATTCTGATGTTCATAATTATGATTGCATTATGAAATTCTTGTAGTGTGTTTATTGGCTCTACTAGATTGGTTACATTCCTCTCTATACTGGCTATTTTGTCTGTCAGCTTCTGTAATATTTTATCATAATTTTTACCTTCCTTGCATTGGGTTATAGTGTACTCCTGTAGCTCAGTGAACTTCATTTCTATCCATATTCTGAATTATATTTCTGTTATTGCAGCCATCTCAGTGTCAGCCTAGTTCCAAACCCTTGCTGGAGATTTTATGTGGCCATTTATAAGAAAGATGGCACTCTGACTTTCTGAGTTTTCAGTGATCTTGTGCTGATTCTTTCTCATCTTTGTGGGCTTATCTACCTTCAACCTTTAAAGTTGCTGACCTTTGGATGAGTTTCTTTTCTTTTTATTTTCTTTTATTCCATTTGGTGACATTGAAGGTTTTATTGTAGTATGAGGAAGAATCAACTGACTGGCTTCATTTCTGGGAGATTTTAGGGGGCCAATCATCAGCTCCAGGCTCCCGGACTATGTGCTGTTACTCTGGGAAACGTGTATTGGGCCCTATCATTATTTTCTGGCTTCTTGAGGTTTGGAGTCCGCTGCACTGGGGGGACCAAAGTGTGGCAGCTGCAGCAGAGTGCTAGCAGATACAGGGGTGCCTGCCTCCCTGCAGGTGTTCACCACAGTGGTGGAGGCAAGGCAGCTGGCGGGGAAGCAAGGGTCCCCTCCTGATGATTGTGTGCACTGTTGCACTGGAGGCAGTGTCAGCTTGGGGCAGGGGGCTGGCCAGTGAAGGTCTGGGTGCCTTGTCTGTCTCCAGCAAGCAGGAGTGTCACTCAGGGTGTGGGAAGATCACTCAGGGTGTGGGAAGATCCCCTGATCTCTGCACAATGTCAGAACAAGGGTGAAGTGCTGACAGGGGTGGGGCTTCCTGGCTCTGTGCATCAAGGCTCCATCTGTAATGGTGGTTGGTGGGGGTGGAAGGGCACACTGCACTCACACATGCTGGTGGGGCAAGTGATGCAAAACCCACCCATGCAGATACATGCCAGCAAAATAATGTGGGGAATTGCCATGGGCTCAAAGAAAGCTAACCAGCTCTCCACCAATCAGGTGAGGTCCACAGACACAGAAGCTATAGTGTGGGCCCCCAGGGCACCTGAGACTGCCCTGTAAGCAGACGTGGCCATGCTGGTGCCCCAAGTGAGGCCAGCAGACCAACCATCAGGTTGGACCAGCCCCATCTGATGTTCAAGACTACCCCACAGAGATCAGATCTGACAATTCCCCTAGGACTAAAGTCTTATGGGAGTAAGTTGAGCCTAGAAGGATAATTGACCCTGGCCACACTCCACTACAGACTCTCCTACACCAAAGCTTCTGGTCTCCACATCAGCTGGCTTGACTCCTGGGGCTCCATTCCAGAGAGATATGGGTCAGCAATTGGTCAGGATGGAGGGCCTGTGTTGTGGGCTGAAGCCAGGAGTTCCCTGTCTGGTAACAAGTAATGGGGGTGTTTAGGACCCATGGGAGACAGGCTGGCCTCCTCTCCTTGCATTGACTGTTCGAGGTATGGATGAGAAGCTTATGGTCTTTGCTCCTTTGTTAGTCTGAGCGTAGCAAGGATAGTTCCACTGCAGAGACAGTGGCAGAGAGGCTTTCAGTTGCCTCTGGAGGCTCTTTCCAGGGAGTTGCTTAATTGCTACTGGCACAATAGCTCTGGCAGGGGGTGGCTACAGGCCCAGACCTGGAGAACCTGCCCAGTGAGGAAATATGGGAATGGGCACCAATGTAAGAGTCTGGCCATTTTTTCATAGGGCTACTGCAGTATGCTGGGAGTCCACTCCAGTCCCTAGTCACCTCAGATTTTCTAGTACCTGAAAGTGTCACCAGTGAAGGCTGAAAAACAGCAAAGATGGCAGCCTGCCCCTCCCTCTGGGAGCTCTGTCCCAGGGATGTACAAACCTGTTTCCAGTCTGAACAGACCTGTAGGAGGTGGCTGGAGACCCCAGCTGGCAGGTATCACACAGTGGCAAGGAACAAGATCAGGAACCCAGTTTTAAAAGAAGTCTGACCACATTTTTGTAGAGAAGCTGTGCTGTGCTGGGGATCTGCTTCAGTCCCCAGTCACCTTGGACTGTCCAAAGCCTGAAGGGTGAAACAGTTAAGTCACCCAAACAGTACAGATGGTGGCACACTCCAGCACCTGAGAGCTCCATTTCAGAGAGGCCTGAAACCTCTGTCAGCCATAGAATACCAGCAGGGGCAGCCAGAGACCCTGGTTGGGAGGCCCTACCCAGTGATGAGGAACGGGATCAGGGACCCATTTAAAACTCATTCTGGCCACATTTATGTAGGGCAGCTGTGCTGTGATGGGGTACCACTTCCACTCCTGGTCAGCTTGGATTCTCTAAAGCCCAAAGGCTAGAACAGCTAAGTTGCCCAAACAGCAAAGATGGCGGCCCACCCCTTCCTCTGGAAGCTCCATCCCAAGGAGTTTTCCAAATCTCTGTAGGCCGCAGAATACTGGCAGGAGAGGCTGGAGGCCCCAGATGGGAGGTCCTGCCCAATGAGGAGGAACAGGATCAGGGACTAACTTAAAGAAGCATTGTGGCCATGTTTTTATAGAGCGGCTATGCTGTACTGGGGCATCCCTTCTACCCATGGTCAATTTGGACTCTCCAAAGCCTGAAGGGCAGAACAGATAAGTCACCCAAACTGCAAAGTTGTTAGCCCACCCCAGCCCCTGGGAGTGCCATCTCAACGAACCTGAAACTTCTGTCAGCCAGAGAATACCACTAGGGGTAGCTGGAGATCCTGGTTGGGAGGCTCCACCCAGTGATGAGGAATGGGATCAGGAACCCACTTAAAAAATCAGGCTGGCAACATTTATGTAGGGCAGCTGTGCCTACATAAACTTGGCCAAAATGCTTCTTTAAGAGGGTCCCCAATCCTGTTCTTCCTCACTGGGCAGGACCTCCCAACTGAGGTCTCCGGCAACCCCTGCTGGTATTTTCTGGCTGACAGAGATTGTAGAGCAGCTGTGCTGTGCTGGAGAATCCCCGCTGCCCATGGTTGGCTTGAACTCTCTAAAGCCTGAAGGCCAGAACAGATAAGTCACCCAAACTGCAGGGGTTGGCGTGCCCCTCCCCCAGGAGCTCTATCTTAGGGAGGTGTAACACTGCTGTAAGTGGCTGGCTGGAACTCCAAGACAGTGGGTCTTATTCTGTGAGGTGTCATGTAAATGGGGCCCACAGACTGCCACTGCTCAGCTCTCTGGATTCAGCCTCTTTCCTAGGGGTATGTATAGGGTTCTAAACCTCCTGCTTTGGCTGAGTTGCAGCTGCTTTCACTGGGAATCCTAGAAAGCTAAAGTATCTAAGGTTCCCAGGTCTCCATGCATGCCTGAGTGGCTGCTCTGCAGAGACTGTACATAGCTCTGTGTGTCAGACGGAAAGCCCTGGTGGATTAGGTCCATGAGAGGATCTCCTGGCCCAAGAGTTGCAAAGATCCATGGGAGAAGCATGGGATCCCAGGATCGTACATCCACTTAGTACTTCCCTGGGTGGAGGATGTTCCCTTGGCTCTGTGTTGCTCCCAGGTGGGCTGTATTATTCAGTTTCCATGCTGCTACAAAGAACTGCCTGAGATTGGGTAATTTATAAGAAAAATAGTTGTAAATGACTAACAGTTCCAAATGTCTGTGGAGGCCTCAGGAAACTTATAATCATGGCAGAAGGCAAAAGAGTAGCAAAGGCAAATCTTACATGGCAGCAAATGAGAGACAGAGTAAATGAGTGAAGGGGGAATAGCATCTTATAAAACCATCAGATTTCATGAGAACTCACTCACTATCATCAGAACAGCATGGGGGAAATTGCCCCCATGATCCAATTACCTCCCACCAGGTCCCACCCTCAATCTTTGGGGATTATAGGGATTACAATTCAAGATGTGCTTTGGGTAGGGACCCAGAGCCAAACCATATCATTCTGCCTCTGGCCCCTCCCAAATCTCATGTCTTTTCACATTTTGAAACCAATCATGCCTTCTCAACAGTCCCCCAAAGCCTTAACCCATTTCAGCACTAACTCAAAAGTCTATATTCCAAAGTTTCATCTGACACAAAGCAAGTCCCTTCTGCCTAAGAGCCTGTAAAATCAAAAGCAAGCTAGTTATTTCCTAGATACAATAGGGGTACAGGCATTGGATAAATGCTCCCTTTCCAAATGAGATAAATTGGCCAAAACAAAGGGGCTACAGGCCCCATGCAAGTCCAAAATCCAACAGGGCAGTTATTAAATCTTAAAGCTCCAAAATGAGATCAGGATCAGGAAACCAATTTAAAAAGTAGTAGTCTGACCTCATTAACTCCATATCTCACATGTGAGACATGCCGCTATAAGAGATGGGCTCCCATGATCTTAGCCAGCTCCAACCCTGTGGCTTTGCAGGGTACACTTCTGCTCCTGGCTGCCTTCATG
This sequence comes from Homo sapiens, assembly GCF_000001405.40. NCBI lineage: Eukaryota > Metazoa > Chordata > Mammalia > Primates > Hominidae > Homo > Homo sapiens. Next base: position 113,959,064 of record NC_000007.14, read on the forward strand.
AGCTGGCATTGAGTGTCTGAAGATTCTCCAGAGGCACAGTGCAAGCTGTTGGTAGATCTACCATTGAGGGGTCTGGTGGATGGTGGCCCTCTTCTCACAGCTCCACTAGGCAGTGCCCCAGTGGGGACTCTGGGGCCTCCAACCCCACATTTCCCTTCCATACTGCCCTACCAGTTCTACATGAGGGCCCCACCCCTGCACCACACTTCTGCCTAGACAGCCAGACATTTCCATACACTCTCTGGAATCTAGGTGGAGGTTCCCAAACCTCAGTTCTTGACTTCTGTGCATCCGCAGGACCAACACCACGTGGAAGCTGCCAAGGCTTGAGGCTTGTACCCTCTGAAGCAATGGCCTAATCTGTACCTTGACCCCTTTTAGCCATGGCTGGGATGCAGGGCACCAAGTCCTCAGACTGCACAAAGCAATAAGACCCTGGGCCTCACCCACAAAACCATTTTTTTTCCCTCCTAGAACCCTGGGCCTGTGATGAAAGAAGCTCTCCTGTGAAGGTCTCTGACATACCCTGGAGACATTTTCCCCATTGTTTTGGCTCTTAACATTTGGCTCCTTGCTACTTATGCAAATTTCTGCAGCTGGTTTGAATTTCTTTCCAGAAAATAGGTTTTTCTTTTCTATTGCATCATCAGGCTGCACATTTTCCAAACTTTTATGTTCTGTCACCTCTTGAATCCTTTGCTGCTTAGAAATTTCTTCTTCCAGGTATTCTAAATCATGTCTCTCGAGTTCAAACTTCCACAGATCTCTAGGGCTGGGGCAAAATGCTGCCAGTCTCTCTGCTAAAGTATAGCAAGAGGGACTTTTGCTCCAGTTCCCACTAAGTTCATCTCCATCTGATACTACCTCAGCCTGGATTTCATCGTCCATATCACGATCAGCATTTTGGTCAAAACTATTCAACAAGTCTCTAGGAAGTTCCAAACCTTTCCACATCTCTCTGTCTTCTTCTGAGCCCTCCAAGCTGTTCCAACTTCTTCCTGTTACCCAGTTTCAAAGTTGCTTCCACATGTTCAAATACCTTTTTTAGCAGCACCTCACTCCTGGTACCAATTTACTGTGTTAGTCCATTTTCATAGTGGTATAAAGAACTGCCTGAGTCTGGGTAATTTATTAAAAATGAGTTCTAATTGACTCACAGTTCAGCATGGCTGTGGAGGCCTCAGGAAACTTACAATCATGGTGGAAGGCAAAGGAGTAGCAAAGGGATGTCTTACATGGTGGCAGTTGAGAGACACAGAAATGAGTGACGGGGGAAGAGCCCCTTATAAAACTATCAGATCTCATGAGAACTCACTCACTATCATAAGAACAGCATAGGGGAAACCACCAATCACCTCCCACCCGGTCCCACCCTCAACATGTAGGGATTATGTGGATTGCAATTTGAGATGATATTTGGGTGGGTTCACAGAGCCAAACCATATCATGGGCCATCTTCCTGCCTTGCTTTTTTCCATTATCCATGGGTCAAATTGTTTACTTGATTAGTCCCAATGTGAGTACCTAGATGTTTCAGTTGAAGCTGCTGTATTTACTTGCCTCTTCTTCTCCTCTTTGTGAGAGCCATGCACACTAGCTGCTTCTAGTCAGCCATCTTGGCCACTCCCCATCAATTTGTATTGAACAAGAACGAAAAGATTTGTTTTTAATTTTTGTAATTATTATATCTTACTTCAGTAAAGACCATTAACTCCTAATTTTTCCATCTTCCATCCCCAAATTCTATCAGCTTGTCTGAAAAACACACTCCCATGTACTCCCACACCACAACCAAAATAACTATATAAAAAATAAGTACCTAGAAGTTGAAAGGGTAAAGACGTAGGAATACAAAAAAACAAAAAACAAAAAACAAAAAAAACTGATACTATTCTTTCTATAATTCTGGAATTTAAACTTATTTTAATTTAATAATTCCCTCAGAAATGTTAAATATGAAACTCGTTCTCATCTCTAGCTCTCAGAGAATGAAAACATGATTTCCAGTTATGTTATTTCATTATAAAAATGTTAGCATAAAATAATTAGAATATCTCCAAGGCATTTTTAATTTTGTAATTCTAACTCTACGGCCCACAGAGTTTATTATACTGTAATAGAACCTGTATATTGAATTGTGCCTATTTTTTCAGTGTGTGTGTACATATATATGTTGGGACTAGCCTACTGATTGATTCTAAAAACTTCCATTCTATGAAATTTAATTCAGTAAATACTTATCGATATTCTTATGACAGGTCCTGTACCTAGAAAATGATTGAGGAAGTTTCTGTGCCCTCAAAGGAACCAGAATTTATAAAAGAAAATTTAGCTTATATAACTTCTCCATTCTGAATTAGACAAATATTTTTAGATACAATAATTACAGTTCTTCCTTTTACTTCCTTTAAACTTTACCAACCTGTGACATTCTAATTTTTAAAATTGTAATAGTTAGCTTTCTACACACCATTTAGGTCATCTGCCTACATCAAAAATGCATCACATTGAACTTTGCTGATTAATGGCATTTATACCATGGATTGCCATGACAAATGGTGCCTCGCTGTTGTCATGCAGTCTGCATGACCAACGAACAGGCAATGAAGATATAATCATAGGTATCACCAGGTCCAGATTAGATGGATTAGACAGTATAATACTACTTGCATAATACTGTAGGATTGGCTCAAAGTTTAAGCTTAATTTTCTCTATTATTTATAGATATACTAAAGTGAGAACTGCTTATTAAAAATCTGGAAAAGTGTTTCCATGATACCATGTTTCTCACATCTCCAGAATACAGCCTTACCAGTAGACATTTGTATACTAGAACATATTTTAACTGAAAGGGATTCTAGAGAGCATTTAGATTCTCTGTGTCATTTTATTGTAAAAAGAAGGCCTACAGAGAAGAAGACAGTTTTTTCCCTCCTCTTTTTACTGCACTTGCAGCATAGGCAAAGCCAGAATTTGGTCAGCTGGCTCATAATCCAATGGCCTTTTTCCTTGAACTTGATAAGTAGACATTTAATTTTAATTTGAATAATTAAGAAAACTCCTTAAAATGTGTCCCTGTGCCTCTCCTGAAGGTGCCCTCTTAAACATTAGCAGCTAGACCCTTCTTTTCTAGATTTTTTTTTTTTAAACAAGTCTCACCCTGTCACCCAAGCTGCACTGGAGTGCAGTGATGTGGTCATAGCTCACTGTAATTGAGCCCAAATTCCTGGGCTCAAGTGATACTCCTGCCTCAGCCGGACGAGTAGCTATTCCTATAGGGATGAGCCACCTTACCTGACTAATTTATTTATTTTTTATAGAGATAGAGTCTTGCCATGTTGACCAGGCTGGTCTTAAACTTCTGGCTTCTAGCAATCCTCCTGCCTTGGCCTCCCAAAATGCTGGGATTAGAGGTGTGAGCCACTGTGCCCGGCCATTTCCAGATATGTTTATGGTACCCACACTTAAGATTGGATGGACTCACAAAATCCAACTCTGAAAATCAGGCAAGTCTCCTGAAGGGAAGTAGAATCTGTTCTTTTAATTCAAGCAAAGCAAACAAGGATCATTACCACATTCCAAGATAATGAGAATATCCAAAGATGATCCCTCAGTTGGTAAGGGATTCCTACCACACAGTTATGTCATAATTTCTCTGCTCATCCCCTCTTGGAAGTGATTTTTCCACTGTCTACACTAGAGTCTAAAGGAGAGTGCTTTACTTCTTTTCAAAGAACTCCTTTAAAAGAATAGCTAAATAGCCACCATAAAAAGGTCTCATATATATGAGGCTTATATACTCATTTATATGAGAAGCCTTAAAGAATAACTTTGCATCACGTTTTATATAGACTTCTCAAAAAGTAAAAAAGAGAAAGATGAATTTTAAAGAACAAACAGGTACAAAGGAAAACAGTTAAAATCCCATGAACAAATAAAATAACATTAGATCATTTTTTCAAGTATAGTTTTATATAAAATATGAAGATATGAGGGAAATAATCTGTTAAAACTTGATATGAGAGAATTAGAACCATTAGAGGAGATGTGATAAATACACACTGTCACTACTTCCACCTGATTGTAAATATTTTAAATTTAGGAATGGCCTATTTCCTTTCCCCAGGAGACTAATCAGAATTTAAATCAGGGTAGGGAAGGTTTGTCACAAATTTTTTGATCCAGAACTTCCCCAGACATGGGGTAAAGGGTCTGAAAATTATGTTCTAGCCTACTTGGAATGTGAAATTTTCTTCTACTCTTCAAACAGTGGAAATTATAATCATTGCAGTAAAGAATGAGGATTAACCATCTCATATTATATAATTATAGGTTAAGTATTCTCAGCATAGGTGAAATGAAAATAAAATATGAATAAAGTTCATTTGCCCATTCTAAGATTCAGAAGTGGCATATCAATCTTTGTCTCCAACGTTCAAACCACTACAATCATCACAGCATACATGGTCTGTGGTTTGACAATGCAAGTTTCAGAAATGAAACCAGAATATACAGAATCATTTTGTTCTGCTCCATGTGTCTAGATGTTACTCATTCACCCTTTCCTGAAACTTGAGGCATTTGGAAGCCAGGTAGATGAATTTACTACACATCATCCCTATGATGTGTAGGTGAATTTACCACCGGGTAGGTGAATTTACCACATCATCCCTATGAGCTTTTGTCTAAATTATCTGGCTACACAAAAGATCAGCTTGAAACTTATTGCTCACCTCTTATCTATTCAATGGTTTGATGGAACAGCAAGGAATATCGTTAAAGACAATGAGGCATCAACTCCTTTAATTATTCTCTCTTAAGAATCTGCCATTTCAGACCATCTATTTCAGATGTGGAATCGCGACATTTTAACCTCCTCTTGATTAAAGGTTTCTATCTCCATCTCAAAGAATGCTTACTTCTATGTGGTTTCTCACAAATGGCTTAACCTTTCTGCATCTCAGTTTCATCCATTATAAAACAGAGGTAATTACAGTGGGCTCTATTTGCCCAGGATGTAGCAGGCATGCTCCATGCATGGACTCCCTATAAGGTGTTTATGTAGAAGTTCTTTATAGAGTTCGAAATATGTCATAAGAACAAAGACAGAACTGAAAATAGAATAGGGACTAAAAGCAAGGTAGGACTCAAGAAAGTGCAAAGTTGAACGTTGGTGTTCTAGAGTCATTTGGTATTAATTCTGCCTTTTACACATTTAATTCACCTACCTTAAAAAAAAACAACTAAAGAGTCATGCACAATAGGCAAATAGAACCTTACAACTAGTATAAATTAAAACTCACAAAATGTTTCATCAAGCTTACAAGTAACATAATATTTTTAACAGTTATAAAAACACAAAGTTGAGAACTGATATGATTTTAGTTTTCAAAGATATTTTTCAAAGTTAAATAAAGGATGTGAGATACTGATATTAAAATAAAGATGTGAATTATCTCATGATTTCTCCATTAAGGATAAAAACAGCCTGTACTTGCAAAAACTTTTGTATTAGTTTTTCAGTAATTTTAATTTTGAATGGTATCTATGCTTCCATTTTGAATTATAGAATTTTTGTTTTATCATTAAAAGTACTTTTATCCAATTTGCTCTATAAATCATTAGTGATTAAGGATTTGTCTATATAAAAAGTATTTTGAAAATGTTTCTCAGACAATATAGATAATAAGTAGCCAATATATTTCAATAATCATGAACATGTCCTTGAAGAAAATTTTTCTTTTCCTGTATTAGAAGAACTATGCAGAACTATTACTAGCAGCATGCTATTGAAATGTGCTCCATATTCAGACATTAGTTCAATATTATTGATAAACACCAAGGAATATTTTTATATCTTCAGGGTTTTTGGCCCCAGTATTCACTATTTACCCAAATCTTGGCAACCTTAGATTGTCACATCTATAGCTAACCATTGGTTGAATAGAAAGGCTTATCCATTAATTTAAAAATAAATATACTTAAAAATCTTTTCACATGATAACATATCCTTGCTCTAGATAAAATAACAAGGCCAAGGTACAGCAGTATATGTTGATTCTATGTCAATAGATTAGGACTTTATTAATCTTCCAATAAGTGGCCAAATGAAAGTTCTCATTTTATGTGAAAGAGGCTGTAGTGGAAAGAAGCTGTTCACTAAATTATTATTGACTTGCCTATTATTTTTAATAGGCTTAGAAAATCAAATCAGATTCTTATAGAATTTTGACAGGAAGAAAGTATTTGCCAATAAATAAACCCTAGACTATGAAGTAATATTATTCTTTAGTTTGGCTGATAAGACAAAATTCTAATATCTTTACATTATAGAACCATATAATTCCTAAATGTCCAATATCCCAAGAACTACTATACTTAGAAGGAAATGTAAAGATATTAGATATTGTACACATAAAAGTAAATAACATGATTAATATTGTCCAACTTTAAAAAGACTAAAATTATTCACTTTGAAGCAAAGGTCTGTAACTTCTCTTAGAAACATTATAATAGTATCAAATACTTTTATAAATGTTTAAACTAAAGGAAGAGTAAAGGAGAAATCCATAATCTTTAATACAGTGGTCAAGAAACTAACTTCTCCAGTGAGAATGGTGGGCCAACATCTTGGAATTATTTCACATTAAATGAACAAAAATCATCAAAAACAAGGCTACGCCTATGTCTAAGTATCAAAACAATTAACATAATTTAACTCATAAGCAGTATTTATTTCACACTTTCAGTTATACTTAGTCACAGTAATTGATAGGTGCTGGCTACCTTTCCTATATTAAAATAGTGCCCTGACCTGTTATCAATATAATAGATTATATGTGTTGTTTCATAGGTACCAATGATAGCTTTGGCCTGATTTGAAAACACCTCATTTCATTTATCCTTCAAAACAAGAGCTTAGGTGAATAATTAAAATGTAAGATTAAATCTCAAATGTAAGAGCCGGAATGGCAAAGACGTTTTATTTTCATACAAAGTAAAACTGACAGATAGTTGCTACTTTGAGTACCGTTGAGAAAAAATGTAAGCACAAATCCAACTCAGTAGGAAAAATATTTTAATGGAATCTTACATAATAGTAGGAAACCGGGAATGCAGTCTACATAGATGCTGGTGACATTGGATTTAATTTATTTTTATTCAGCACCTAGTATGTGGAAGACTTCACGCACATGACTGCAACAGATACAAAGATAAGTTGGTTGCAACTCTTGACTTCAAGGAAGGCAGCAGAGTGAGGAGGATGAAAGAGGCAAAACAAACCATATTGCACTGAATGATAAAAGTGACATATGAAGGGTACAGATAAAGTGTTAATTGGGAGTTTGGAGAAAAGAGATTATTTTAGTTCAAAGAAGTTTTTCATAAAGATTCATCGTGGAAATGGTAAAAGATTTTACAAATACTGTTTGGAGGTTAAGAATGAGTCCTATATCAGCTGGATATGGTGGCTCACACCTGTAATCCCAGCACTGTGGGAGGCTGAGGTGGGTGGATCATTTTAGGTCACGAGTTCAAGCCCAGCCTGGCCAACATGGTGAAACCCTGTCTCTACTAAAACTATGAGAAATTAACTGGGCATGGTAGCACATGCCTATAATCTCAAGTACTGGGGAGGCTGAGGCAGGAGAATCACTTGAACCTGGGAAGCAGAGGTTACAGTGAGCTGAGCTTGAGCCACTGCACTCCACACTCCAGCCTGGGCGACAGAGTGGGACTCCACCCCCCAGCCCCAACACACCAAAAAAAAAGAAAGAAAGAAAGAAAGACAGACAGAAAGAAAGAGTCCTATACCTGCCTAAACTCTGAACTGAAGAGCCTGTAAGTTTACCAAATAAGTTCACATTTTTTAACATCTAAGTTTAGCAAGTACATATAGTTCAGTGTAATTGAAATTTGCCTTAATTTCTCTTTATTCAATAACTATTCTCTGACATTCTAGATTTGATTTTTCTGTTTCTGTTTGTGATTCCCCAGTAAGAATGTAGCATGTTCTCTTTCCTTCCCCTACAAATTGCTAAATTTGCAGCAGAAGACCAAGAGTTAAGGATTTAATTGATATTTTGAATCTGTCATGCAACCACTCACTTGGACTCTCAGGCCTCTTGGTCCTATTTCAAGAGTGGCCTGGCCCACATAAGCCATAATATAGTTTGTAAATTGTCCAATTTAGCTGTTCAGCTGCTGTAGTCTAAAGTAAAAAATATGTAAGTGGGTCAGCTCTAAAATTAATTCAGCCTAACTTTGCCTGAAAACACTAAGAATATTACCATCCTGAGGGCCAAAATATCGCCTCCAAGCAGACTGAAACCATCCCTGGAGAACAATTGCCCAGGACGACATTTCCATGACATGTTCACTCTATTCCCATGTCTGCAGCTCTTGATTACAACCTAGGATGCTTGCATCCTGCTTACCAGAAAATACAGGTGTTAGCTTTAACTGATGTGCAAGTGAGAATAGGCTGATAAAATGAAGCACAGCTAAATAATAATCACAAGTAACATTTATTGAGCATCTACAATTTACCAGATGCTCATTTAATCTATTTACAATTCTATAGGAGAGAAGTTATTATTATGCTGCTTTACAGATATAGAAACTGGGTCTGGATCACAGGTAGAGCTGGAACTTGAACCATAGTCTCAAAATTCTGTGCCTTGAATTGCCACATCATACTACTTTTGTACATATGTTACTTTCCTCTGTGTATATTCCTCATTGATTAAGCACCTACTATGTGTCAGTCACCATGCTAGAGAGTATGAATATAAAATGAGGGATGAACAGAGTTATTGACTGAATTGTCCCCCACACCCCATCCAAATTTGTATGTTGAAGCCCCATCCTTTAATGAACTGTGTATTTGGAGATAGGGTTTTCAAGGAGATAATTAAGGTTAAATGAGTTCATAAGAGTAGGACCCTAATCCCATAAGGCTGGTGTCCTTATAAAAAGCAGAAAAGATACCAGAAGTGTGTGCACACAGACAACAGCCCATGTGAGGACACAATGAGCAATAGTCATCTACAAGCCAAGGAGAGAGGCCTCACCAGATACCAACCCTGCCAGAACCTTGATCTTGGACTTTCAGCCTCCATAACTGTACAATAATAAATTTCTGTAGTTTAAGCCACTCAGACTTATAATTTCATTATGGCAGCCCTAGCAGACTAATACAGAGATAGGTGCATAAGAATATGAAAAGAACGAATAGATGCATAAATTAAACATTTGAGGAGAATAAATTTCAACTTACTTCAATTAAAGTGTAAAGCTGAGTTATAAAATGTAATTCTTAGAGAATATACAGTTTCTTTATTTTTGTCTATAGCTGATCTGCTCTCCTTCAAGAGGCCCCATCTGTGGTTTCTTGGGAGAAGCATTAACTCATGGTCCAATCCAATTTAAAACTTAGTCCAAAATAACAAGTGAAAAAATATATTTTGGTAATATTCAGTAACTCCAGGAAGCTGTTTTCAATCTCTCAGATTTCTCACCCTTTTGTACCACCTCCCAGGTTCTTCTCCAATACAGCAAGTGGGTGTGGGATAAGGGTGACAGGGATAGGGGAGGTTCCTTTAGTGAAGAAGTCTGGATCCTCCAGTCTCCCATTAATGTTTCCAATTGCCTGTTTTCTGGGTGCTCTGTGGTCCTTCAACACTGGAATCTGAGCAAGGAAATTGTGAACCATTCTTTCAGCCTCTACAATGTGCCAGTATTATTCCCCTAGCAGGTTCAGCTTCACATTCGCTCATATCATTGCTATAAATACTAAGCTGAGTACCAGCCTAGGTGGTCCAGCACAGAAACACTCTACTACACTGCCAAGTTTTGGCAAGCTGCCAGTCAGACTCTTAGCTACCCTGGGGCCTATAATACACAGGAAAGGGTAAGAGTGAATTGGAAATATAAAATTTCAGGCTGTGCTTTTAAAATTTTAACACTCAGCTGCTACGGCTGAGTCCAAGCCAGGATGATACAAGGAAAAGTATGAGAGGGCCTGCATACCCAGGGTCTCAAATGAGGATAGGGTTGGGGGACAGGGGCAAAATCTCATTCTGCTCTCAGTGATATCTTTACTCACAGAAAGAATGAATCTGTTCATCACATTCTCCCGTCTCTGTTTTTCCTGCAACATTTCTACAGGACCGGAAAGGGACAGGCTTTTTCTCTATCCTCTTTCTATCTAGAACCCTTATGGAAAAGTCTATGGATGAGGCTCCCAAGTCTATGCTAACAATAGATATAATGGAATTTGAACACTGAATTCCCAATCACTGAAAAACCAATTAACTTACTGAAAATTCTGTTCTTGAATACTTAATATTACTTCAGTCTTCTTCAGGAAGAAGTCTTAATCTACATCAAACTAGAAGGATCTCTTCAATGGAATGTAGTCCAGAAAGGCAAAAGAGAAAGCCACGTAAATTATGTTCAACGTACAGATTCTATCACACTTTCAGTTTGCTAGAAAGATAGACATAAATGATTGATTCTGTCTTTAAAATGCTTTCTGGAAGAAATAACATTTGAGTTTAACCTAGAAGGAAGAAATAAATATTTGTTAAAATATTTTAGGAGTGGCTCATTTGCAAAATGCACCACCAGTGGTTCCTTTCCAAACTGGACATATTTTATATCATTGGATAATAAACAGCCACACCAACAGGAAAACCTGAGACTTACGGATCACACCCAATAAATACAAAATAGTTAAAACTGTTTCATTAGTTCACAAATACTATAAAGAACCTATTGCATCCTAGGAATTATGCCAAGTGTTATCAAAAAGAAAAGTTACACTCTCTGCTGTCAAGCAATACACAAGCCTATTATTGAAGATGTTTAGCTTTCAGTGGGACAAACATATTTCAGAAGAAATGTGGAGTTGTCATCACCAAGTAGTGTTAAAAATAATTTTCCAAATGATGAAAGTTAAACATTTCTTAGCAAAATCAGGACTAATCCTTGTATTAGTGTCCCATCTATCCAGCTGTACAGGGTCGCAGAAGCAGCACAGACAGCAACTTGCTTGCATTTCGTAAGAAGAAAGACAGGCCGGGCGCAGTGGCTCACGCCTCTAATCCCAGCGCTTTGGGACGCCGAGGCGGTTGGATCACGAGATCAGTAGATTGAGACCATCCTGGCTAACTCGGTGAAACCCCGTCTCTACTAAAACATACAAAAAAATTAGTCGGGCTTGGTGGCGGGTGCCTGTAGTCCCAGCTACTCGGGAGGCTGAGGCAGGAGAATGGCGCGAACCCGGGAGCTGGAAGTTGCAGTGGGCGGAGATTGCTCGACAAAAAAAAAAAAAAAAAAGAAGAAGAAGAAGAAAGATGCCAGAAAGGGTGACCAAATATATCTATAGGAAAGTTCATTGAAACATTATATAAAGAATAGGATATATGTTGGTACAAAGATGATTATTGTAAATATATTTAGGAAGATCAATGAGACTTAATTGCCTGTCCAATAGGTATGTTTAAGTTTATAAGAAAGAATTTACCTCCTCATTATTCTTAAATTTTATAGCACTTTAAGAAAAGTTCACAAAATGTAATTCTGAAAATATATAAGCATAGAATCATGATTTATAGAGTAAGGAATCTTTTTTATTTCTTTAACCCAGAGGTCCGCAACTTTTTTGGCACCAGAGACCAGTTCCGTGGAAGACAATTTTTCCATATATGGACAAGGGACAAGATGGTAATAGTTTCGGGATGAAATTGTTCCACCTCAGATCATCAGGTGAAGGGGATGCAAGGCATGTCTTACATGGTGGCAGGAAAGAGAGAGCACAGGGGAAACTGCCACTTTTAAAACCATCAGATCTCGTGAGAACTTCCTCACTATCATGAGAACAGCATGGGTGAAACCACCCTTGTGATCCAGTCACCTCCCACCAGGGTCCTCCCTCAATACTCAATATGTGGAAATTACAATGAGATTTGGGTGGGGACACAGAGCCAAACCATATCACAGAGGGATCACAACTGTATCATTCAGGGTTCCCTAGAGGGACAGGACTAGTAGGATAGATGTACATATGAAGGGAAGTTTATTAAGGAGTGTTGACTCACATGATCACAAGATGAAGTCCCACAATAGGCCTTCTGTAAACTGAGGAGCAAGGAAGCCAGTTCGAGTCTCAAAATCTCAAAAGCAGGGAAGCCAACAGTGCAGCCTTCAGTCTGTGGCTGAAGGCCCGGTAGCCCCTGGCAAACAACTGGTGTAAGTCCAAGAGTCCAAAAACTGAAGAACTTGGAGTCTGATGTTCGAGGGCAGGGAGCATCCAGCACGAGAGAAAGATGAAGGCCGGAAGACTCAGCCAGTCAAATCCTTCCAACTTCTGCCAGCTTTATTCTAGACATGCTGGCAACTGAATAGATGGTGTCCACCCAAATTGAGGATGGGTCTGCCTCTCTCAGTCCACTGACTCAAGTGTTAATCTCCTTTGGCAATACCCTCACAGATGCACCCAGGACAATACTTTACATCCTTCAATCCAATCAAGTTGACACTCAATATTAACTATCACAATGGCTGTACTTATAGTCTTCATGACTTATCATACTGTCCACTAATGCCAATAAAAGTAGGACTTTCTTTAAACACATCTTGAATGTGTATACAGCAATGTCTTGACGAAAGTAGAGTTCAGTACATGTATACTTTGAACATAGAAAGGTGGCTTCAAAATTATACATAAATAGATGTTAAGGGCAGCAATCTGGCTAAGCCAGGAAACTTGTCAGGAAGCTACATTTGCAGAGCAAGTGTACTGTTCTTATTTAGATTGTATATTATATTCAATAAAATGGCAATATTTTGTAGGATTTTATTTAGCCTTTATATAAGTATGGCAAAGCATAAGTCCTTCACATGAAAAAATATTATTTTTATTAGGATATAGTTATAAATATTGCTGGTAATTAACATAAATTCTGTCTCTTCCAAGCCATTCTGTGGTAATGCCTCTGTAGACACATAAAATCACATGTAGATAGCTCTCATGTCTCTCTTTCTTACTCTAACCCTTCCCTAAACTTGAGTTATATATTTACCTTCATTCTCAAAGGCAAATTAAAACTACTATGTCCAAAATTATATCTGTAATTTACCACACTGTCCCCAAAGGTTTTTCTCTTCAACATTTTCTGTTTCAGTTGATGGTACTACCAGCTAGCCAGTCAACAGACTATGTTCATTATTAACGCTTTCTTTGTCCCCACCTTCAATTATTAATACCTCTGAATGGCATCCATTCAGCCATTCAGACCAGAAGTGTGGGGTGGGCTAATGTCCAATATCCCATCTATTTAGCTAGTAAGGAAGTGTTAGTAGCGCTGGAGACAGTTCTTCCTCACCTCTGAGCCAATCAATCACCGAGGCCTGTAGATGTTACCACCTGAAAAGTATCTTGGTTGTATTCTCTCAGGTGGTGAAGGAGTAAGTTCAAACTGCGCTTTGTGTAAACCTGAAGAGTTGGGAAATTAATTAAATAGGAAAATAGAGTGTTGGTAATAGGGATAGTTTGCAGCATGCAAAGGCAGAATGGGGATGCCGCCCAAATAACCAAAATGGAAATAATATTGAGGAGCAATAAGATCCTGGAAGTGGTTCATCAGGCAAATGCTATGTCCCTCAAATTAGGTATAAGACCTGAATGAGTCATGAATAGAAGACAACAATGTTAAGCCTCTGTGCTATAAGCCTAGGATCTTATAACTGTCCTCTCACTAAGGACAAGATTAGTTAAAGGATCAGAGGCAGTACTAAACAAACATCTATACATATACATACATACATACATTCAAAAATAAGCAAACAAATCAGCCATATATAGCAATATAAAAAATAGCAATAGCCATCAGCTATTTGTCTTCTTCAGTGCACAAATTCTGAAATCCAACTTCTTAAGTTCTAATTTAAGCTCCACCATATAATGTATAATCTTGGACAAGTAAGCTACTCTGAGTCTCATCTGTAAAACAAAAATAATAGCACCATCTATACCATAGGATTGTTGAAAGGCTTCAGTGAGATAACTCCAGGAGCTTTTGGAACAAAATTTTAGCACATAATTATCACTCAATAAAGAAAATATTTTATTATTACCATTATTACTTGTTGAAACACAATGTAACATAACGTTTAACTGGAACTGATTTCTTCTAAAATACCAATCTATATTTTTTTTTCTGTCATCACTATATAGATGACAATCTAATCTGCAGTTTAGGTCCAAAGAGCTCACCTTTGCCTTACTTACTTTTGTTTCCTATTTGGACATCTCCACTTAAATGGCCTTTTTTACATTTTGCAAACCTATGACTTAATACATCATCTTCTCTTAGTTACTTTATGCAGCAATATCATCAACAAATAGTGGTGAGCCTTGAATGAAGAGACTCCAAACGGATGCAAGACAGTTTTCCTCCCTTTAAGGTAAGTATAACTCTATTCTTCTCAACTATGTTATAAACTCCTTAAGAATTTAGAACACTTTTTTTTTTTACTATTGTAAGGCTGGGTATCTCATCATATATGAAATTTATATGTTGGGGTTGGGGAAGGAAAGATGGTTCTCTCATTTTCTCAACAAGAGTGTTGCCAGAAAAATACTTTTGTATTCATGACCAAGTCTTCCTACCTAGAACCTCCCTTAAGAGATAAATTATCATGGAGTCCTTAAGGGCAGCCTCCCTCAGAAAAGCAGGCAAGCAGCCAATTATCTACAGAAAAATTATTTGAGACTTTCTTTTTTTTTTGAGACGGAGTCTCACTCTGTCGCCCAGGCTGGAGTGCAGTGGCACAATCTCGGCTCACTGCAACCTCCGCCTCCTGGATTCAAGCGATTCTCCTGCCTCAGCCTCCCGAGTAGCTGGGACTACAGGTGTGTGCCACCACACCTGGCTAATTTTTTGTATTTTTAGTAGAGACAGAGTCTCACTGTGTCAGCCAGGATAGTCTCGATCTCCTGATCTCGTGATCTGCCCACCTTGGCCTCCCAAAGTGCTGGGATTTATTTGAAACTTTTAAAAGGAAAAGTTACCTTCCTCCAAGAGGTTTGTACCCAGATAGGTATCAGTCTAGAACCATCCTTAACCCAACATTCCTCGGATCAAGTAGCATGCTGGAAATACTGACAAAGCTGAGATAAAGGGCTCCAGATCTCCTGGAAGGAAATGGAATTGTCTTGACTTTAAGAAGCTCAGCAGACAACTGGAGCAGCTGATAGTGGTGCTGCAGTAGAGCTGTCCATTGCTCAGTTTGAAGATGGCCAAGCATCAGAGCAGTATCAGCATACAGTAAGAGGCAATGACAGTGTCCTCATCAGGCACCTCCACCCCACACACATCCCCACCTCCTGTGCATATGAAGCACAGTGGTAGTCAATGGGGAGGAGTGATGGGCTGTGAGGGAAGGAAAAGATAGTGCCTGAATCCAGGTGATAGAGGAAGACCTAATCCAAGGCAAGGGTGATGGGAATCATTACAGCTTGGCAGTTATAGACTGATTTTTCACAAAAAGTAAAGGACCTGAAAATCAAAGATATTGATGGTGAAAGAGTGGAAGGGTAACAAAAGTTGACGAAGAAATCCATTTCCAGACATGGAGAAACCAAGAGTCAAATGATAAATAGAGGGATATAGAGGTATGGGCCAAAGAGAGAGATGAGATTTTTAGGAGAGTGCCTGTAGATAATAGTGCTTTTAGTAAAGCACCAGATACCTGGGTAGCAAAGTGAGTGGTGAGATAATGCAAGCACTGCTGTCTGTATGCTTATTTGAAGATGTGATGCAAGGAAAGACTGGCATTAGCAAAATTATTAAAGAAGTTATTTCAGTGTTTCAACATTCATTTTGAAATTTCTATTTCCTTACACCATCATGAGATTATCAAATGCCTTTGACTGTTTCCTCTGCTTGAAAGATCTTCCCTCAGATGTTTCATTTTCTGGTTTCCTTCAGCCTTTCCCATGAGATAACCCTCCTTTCCGGGAAACACACACACACACACACACACACACACACACACACACACTTTTTATCCCCTACTTCGCATTATTTTTCTCCTTAACACATGCCAATATTTAATATACTATATGCATTTTATCATTTATCATTGTTTATTGTCTATCTTTCCCATAGAATTTAAGCTCTATGAGGACTGGGATTTTTGTCTGTCTTACTAACTACTCTATCCTCAGCACCAAGGATCAGTGCCTGATGCATTATATGGGTTCTATAAATATTTGTTGAATGGCTAATTCAATTACTAGATATGCTGTTTATCATTTCAAAAGGCTGGACTCCTTTACCAGAGATTTTCATGCTCCCAAGCCACCACTGGGGAATTCCATCCAGTGACTCTTGTCTTAAATGATTCCTGATATACTTCCCTGCTACACTGAAAATGACCTGCCCTGTGTTCCTTTCTCTCGAAATTTTTCTAGATGATTAGGAATTATTCTGAAAATTATCTGTGTAAATATAGATGGCTAAAATTAATGTATAGCATAAAGCAGACACTATTTTCCATTGTGGGGGCCCTCAGTGACTCATCCCAAATAATAAAAAATGTGAAAATTTCAAGAAATGTGACAGTCATGTGAAGGAAAATTTTAGGGCCAGAGAGTGCCAAACATACACTGTAGAAAGCTGACTTTGCCTTCTATGTCTAGGTTAAACCCTAGGTCTTAGAATGTATCACCTTGGCATAAAGCTGATGTATTGTAAAAATGAAGATCAGTACATTCAATAGCCATTTACTAAAATGGGCAATTCATTTAGGAAATACTTTACAGCACAGCTATGGGCTTTTTAGCCAAGACATTTTTACTCAACTATTTTTACTCAATTTCCGTTTGTTTAGTCCACATGGAAGAGAGAGTAGCTAGTTCTTGTTATCCATCTTTCTCACAGTAATCGTGTGAAGGTTTAATAAAGGACAATACAAAACTTTTACAAGTATAAACTGCTAAAGAACTAATGATAGCTTTATTCTTAAGTGCTTCCATGTCACCTTGTTATTTCTTGCTTGTCATTCACTAATTAAATGCCAGTTTCAAATAGCTACATGGCTAAAAGTGTTATTTGACATAATCTAAAATAGAATCTAAGTACAACCAATTGTGCTTGGATACTGATCCTGGTTGTCCTCCCATCCCTCACCTTCAGCACAGTCTCTCTAGTCTTCCTTTTATCTTCCCCTCCCTTCTACCACACATCTGTCAATTCGCATCTCATTCCTCACCATCCCAAAGAATAAGTCACTGCTCGCCACTCTCCATCTGTGCTTATTTAACATTACTGGTTTCATTCCCATTGTCCTATTGTTGTACCTTGTCACCTACAGATTTCACACTGGGTTGGTTTTTTTGGTTTTCATTTTATTTTAACACTGTGAATTGCATTATGGAAGATAAATAGACCAGAACCAGGAACCAGTGTTAAATGAACTCACTGTGTATAAAGTGTATGGTGAAAAGATAGTAAGAGGTGAAGCTTGATAACAAGGGTAACTCACGGTCAAAATTTACTAGTGGTAGATTACATTCACCCACACTAGTAGCTAATGTATAATTTTGCCAATGGAAAAACATTAATTTGCAGAATAAGCGTTTTAGTAGAATGGGTAATTCATGACATTAACCTACTCCGATTATTCCCTCATTTTATCTCAAACAGCATTAAAACCATGATCGATGTTTTTTGAGAAAGATTCCATAAAATTTAAAAAAACCCAGAAAATTTATTATAACAAATGACACTTGTCTGTTACTTTCCACAACATTACTTTAAGGCAAATGACTAAGTTACAGAGAAGTCTGATGCCCTGCTTGAGTTTGCAAAGGTAGTCAATAGCCTTCAGTACTCAAACTGTGGTATTTGGAATTCATACCCAGTGATTCTTTTACTCTGTTATATTGATGTCTAAATCTGTATGTTTTCTGACTTGTGTTCCAAGAAAAAAAAATCATATTGTGTATTAGAAAGTTGATATTAATTTCCTCCCTTTTGGATAAACACTTGCCTGATGCATTACTATAGTATATGAGTACAGTGCAGGTCATCTGCATTTCAGGTAAATTCCTTGGAATAAATACAGACTAACCAAGCTATTTCCTTTACACATAAAACAGGCACATTGATGAGATTATATTCAATTTTGTACAAAATTTAAATACTTTTTCTGGTGCAACTTTCATAGTTGTCACAGAGAACAAGCATCACTGCATGCTGTTCATATTAGACACAGAAATAGAAGCAGACATAACCTGAAGCTGAATTCTTTATACTCTCTGTGTCCTAAAAATCAAGTGTCAGTTTATCATTAGTTTTTCTCAATAATCCCCCTTAAGACTTCTCAAACACCTTAAGAAAACCAATCTAAATCCCCACGTTTTAATCAAAACAGTTCCTCAAAGAATTCTAAGAAATGTGATTTGTGAAATATGAACTAATTGTTATGCCCCTTTTCCTATACTGTTTTCACAAGAGGCTGTATGCCAGCTCCACTTATTATCTGAATTCTGCACAATATATGTTCTAGTAGCTATTCAAAGGGAATCAAATTTAATTCGAATTTAATTTTCACTATTTGAATATTCCAAAGCACTTGTTTTACATACAGAACAACTATATATATATATATATATATATATATATGTAGAGAGAGAGAGATCTATACACAGCACTATGTAATCCCAGCACTCTGGGTGAGGCAGATATATATATACACACACATATACAGAGAGAGAGAGAGAGAGAGAGAGAGATGGAGTCTCACTCTGTCGCCCAGGCTGGAGTGCAGTTGCAGTGGTGTGATCTCAGATCTCGGCTCACAACAACTTCCACCTCCCAGGTTCAAGCGATTCTCCAGCCTCAGCCTCCCGAGTAGCTGAGACTAAAGGCACACACAACCGTGTCTGTCTAATTTTTGTATTTTTAGTAGAGACAGGGTTTCACCATATTGGCCAGGCTGGTCTTGAACTCCTGACCTCAAGTTATCCACCTGTCTCAGCCTCCCAAAGTGCTAGGATTACAGGCGTGAGCCACCGTGCCTGGCCCACATATATTGTTAAGAAAAAGCTAGACTCTAAAAATCGTAGTAAATATGTTTGAAGATTCTTAAGACATCTTATCAACTTTGTTTACAAACACCAGATTTTTTTTTTTGCCTTATATAGGGATATTTTAGGGGTGTTTCTGTATGCCCAGTATTCACTATGCATTACTAATAGAATTATTATTATTTGGGGAAATTACATCCTTCCCATTTTCTCTCTATTCTTGGAGGCCCATGAAATCCTGAAGCCTACCTCTCACTAAGAAGTCTAAGGGGGAGGATATTTCCTTTCAATGTCCCCATACCACAAAAAGGAGGACACATGACCTAAATTTGGCCTGAAAACTGAAAAGTTTTAATCTTAGGCAAGTACAGAGAAAAACGAATAAATTGTTAGAATTTCATTTCTCCCAGAGTCAATCTGTTTTTTTTAATTGAACTAAAATTTTATAATGTCAACATAAAACTAACCGTTAACCATTTCAAAGTGAACAACTCATTGACATTTAGTACACTCACAGTGTTGTGCCACCATCACCTCTATCTAGCTCTAAGACATTTCATCATGTCAAAAGGAAACTTGGGCCGGGCGTGGTGGCTCACACCTGTAATCCCAGCACTCTGGGAGAGGCAGGTGGATCACTTGAGGTCAGGAGTTCAAGACCAGCCTGGCCAACATGGTGAAACCCCATTTCTACTAAAAATACAAAAGTTAGCCAGGCCTGGTGGTACATACATGTAATCCCAGCTATTCCAGAGGCTGAGGCAGGAGAATCACTTGAACCTGGGAGGCAGAGGTTGCAGTTTGCTGAAATTGTGCCATTGCAAACCAGCCTTGGCAACAGAGTAAGATTTGTCTCACAAATAATGATAATAATAATAATAATAATAAAAGGAAACTTGATACGCATTAAACAGTTACTCTCTGTTTTCCCCTCTCTCCAGCCTCTAGCACCACTAGTCTACTTTCTATTACTATGTATTTACATATGATGAATATTTCACATAAATGGAATCGTACAATATGTAGCCTTTTGTGTTTGGCTTCTTTCACTTAGCATAATGCTTTCAAGGTTCATTCCTGTTGTAGCATGTGCTTGTGTTGACCAGTCTGCTCTGCTCCCTAGAGTTTTTTCCCAGCTTCCTTCCTTTAATTCCTCTGCTACTACCTCAGTTTTTGCACCTCACAAGCCCAGTCTACAAGTCATCTCACCCATTCTGTTATGGTCCTTCTTCTTGGACTACTTCCCCTTCCTTGTAGTTAGCCAGAGTCACTGGCTTCTATTTCTTACAGCTGATAAAGATTTGAAACACTTCCTACTGATGACATTAACTATTAATTTCTAACTGGACTCAATAGTCCTTTTTTTTTTCATTTTCTACCCTCTTTTCTGTTGTCAAATAAAAATATAAGAATGATAAGCATCTATTTACTGTCTTTTTCTTTCAGTACCACTGCTAGGTGGTACTTGTTTTCATTCAAAGGAATTTCAAGTATAAAGATAAACAGATTTTAATATCATGGTGACCTACTTTTTTAACACTTTTGATAACTTAGCAAAAAGTCGCTTCAGCAGATCTTAGTTCAAAGGAAGAATAAATTGATATCAGAGGCTGAGATTCAGAGGCTCCTCCTTTTTTAGAATGTCCATTTCTCTAGCAGAGAATTTATGCTTCACTAGATGTATCCTGCCACTGATGCCCCTTCAGCTGGGTCACTTTGTATAGTGCATGCAGCCAAACTTTGAACAGTATAAACCCACTTGCATTAGGATTGTAAGAGGTTGGTGAATGACGCATGCTCTGCTATTTGTTTGCCTGCAAGTTTTTCTCTCAATAAAATCTATTTTATATTTACACCGCATGGGGTTGGGGTCATGTGTGGTGTCCATATACTTTTTGCATAACAAATCCAATCTAATGAACTCTGAGACACAAATATAAACATGACAGAAGTCCTTATTCATAAAGAGCTCAAGTCTAGTAGGGAAAACACCACAGATACAAACTACTATGAGATGAATAACAAGGTTCAAACCATAATATCTGCAATCAGGAAGCATCTAGATATTGCTTAAACACTTCCTTTGAAGAAAGAATTTACTTTCTTGAAACAGATACTGAAGTTGCTGAAATCCATTCTTCCATAACATATCCATACTTGTTCTTGTTCCCTTTAGAACTACAAAAAAAATCCATTGTTCTTCCAGCTAACAGCCTTTCAAATATCTGAAGATGATTATCATATTGACAACCACTCTAAATAATCTTCCATAACTTTTGTCATTTTATAGTTACAATGTGCATGGAAAGAGGAGGAAGAAATCACTTGGGGATTGAACTATGTTTATGGAATAAGCAGCATTTGTCTACAAGTTGAAGTGCATCTCTTTAATTGAAGGCAAAAGAAGGGTTATTCCAGATGGAGCAAGCAGAGAAAGCAAAGTGTGTATTTGGCAAAGTTAATCTAGTTTTCTGATTATAAAGATTTAAATAGTTTAGCATAGGTATTTGAGAAAGATCGGTGAGACTGTGTAGGTTAAAAACATAGACTAAAATTTGTAGTGTAGATAATTAGAAACCTTAAAACACGTTTGAATAGAAGAATGGCATGATAAAAGATATGCTTTAGTAACATTACTTTAGAAACATTACTTATAGAATGGAACCTAGAGAGAAAAGAGAATAATTAAGGGGTTATTATGGAAATCTAAATGGGATGTAACAAATGCGTGAAATAGAAAAATGGTAGGAGGTATGATCAGAATAGGTCAAATGCAAGAGTTGTTGCAGAAATATAATCACCATTGATAGTACTATGATATCTATTTCTTTTCCTTAATATTAAGAAATCACTACATAAGATTTGTAGATAGTATACTTCTACAAAGACAGGATGGTGAAGTAGAAAACAGCTTTAAAGTAAGACAGACTGTAGTTAAAATTTTGCACATACTGCTTCTTAACTGTGTGTCATTCATGTTATTTTACCTAGGAATCACATTTGCCTCATTTGTAATATGGAGATTAAAAAACATAGTGGTGTCTGGTACAAGACATGAAATAAATCTTAGTTCCCGGCAGGGCACGGTGGTTCACGCCTGTAATCCCAGTGCTTTGGGAGGCCAAGGCGGGCGGCTCACGAGGTCAGGAGATTGAGACCAGCCTTGCCAACATGGTGAAACCCAATCTCTACTAAGAATACAAAAAATTAGCCGGGAGTCATAGCAGGCGCCTGTAATCCCAGCTATTTGGGAGGCTAAAGCAGGAGAATCACTTGAACCCAGGAGGCAGAGGTTGCAGTGAGCTGAGACCTTGCCACTGCACTCCAGTGGCAACACAGTGAGACTCCATTTCTAATTAAATAAATAAATACATCTTAGTTCCCTTCTTCTTTTTCTCATTTCACTTTTAAAGCTTTTTATTAAGCTGCTGTTAGGTACCAGGAAATATACTTGATGATGAAATCCCCAAAACTTTAACTCAAGTTGCCCAGAGTCTACTGTGAAAGACATACAAGTGTGGTAGACTAGGTTGTTCCTAATTACTCTGTTTCCTCCTATAAGAGCATTCTATCTCCCATCCCATCCCATGTCAAATGACTTGAAAGGATTCCCTGTGGGAATCCTTCCCACTCCATTGACTTTGGACTTCACCATGTCACTTGTTTTGTCCAATAGAATGTGAGCATAAGTGATGTATGCTACACCTGGGCAGAAATTTTAAGAGCCATTACATGTTTTGCTATTCTTTTTTCCTTCTGCCAGGAAAAAGATATGTTTCAATATGGGTTATTCTTGGAATGAAAAAAACCACACACACACAGAGCAGAGCCACAATCATCCTGCAGTTGCTACAGCCCAAATATAATGAATGAGAAATAAACCACTGAGATTTAGGGTTCTTTTGTTGCTGTAGCATAACCAAGGAAAACGTAATATAAAATACATAAATCATTACAAAAACACCAGGAGTTTGTGGTAATACAGAAGAGGAACAACCAACCTGTCCAGGAGTAAATGGGTAGTAAGGGAAAACTTTTTGGGGGGAATTATGTCACAGCAAAGGGTGGACTAAAAGGTAGAAATGGGCTGGGCAGAGAAGGCTTTCATGGAAACTGTACATTCTATGTAAAACCACAGTGCTAACAAGTGACAGAAGAAAATATGTTTGGGAAAAGGAAAATAGTAAGGTATGATGGGAAATTGGGGTGCATGTGGAGGTAAACATGCACTCAAATCTCAATAAGACTGACCTTGACCAGTCTATTAGACCAAACCTGCCTCTTCAATCCCTGAACTGCTGATCAACTTTTTAATTCTATAGCATGTGTCATCTTCTAACATACTGGATAATTTACTTACATACTATATTTAGCAGTTATTATCTCTTCCACCACTGGAATATAATCTCCGTGAAGGCAGGGATCTTTGCGTATACTGTTCACTGATATGTCCCAAGCACAGAGAAGTGTGCCTAGACACTAGAGGAGGTGATCAATAGTAGTTGCTGAAAGATTCCAAAGTCATTCAAAGGTTTCAAAGATCATGCTTAGGAGTAGTTTTTATCATAATGAACACAAGGAGACAATGAAAATTTTAAGCAAGTGAGTAAAGTGACTTGCATCTCAGAAATATCATTATGAAAGTAATATGAACAATGAACCGGAAGGAGAAAGGTGGAGGAAGGTGGCAACTCTCCTACTGACTTTTATGTGAAATTTGTGATGGCCATTTTGTACCATATTAAAAAAAGAGTCTTTAACAGCTTAATGAAAGTTTCTAAATACTCTGGGAGGAGCAGGAGTAGAAGTTGAGCCAGAAATATTTTCACAATATTGAGGTTCCAGTATAGGTTGGAGATGATAAATTTGCCGACTCAATCTAGAAGAGTCCTGTAATCTTTCTTAGCAGAAAATCATTTTCCTAAATGTAAGGGCTAAGAAGGCAGATTGTAAGACCTATAAACAATCAGGCAGTTTTAGGGCAGAAGAATAGTACTAGAAAACCAGGAAAATGTGAGAATACAAAATAAAGAAAGCATAAAGTAGTGTGGGGATGGGAGTATAAGGGTAGAGTATCTGAGACATGTTGGGCAGTGTTCAAAATAGACAATGTTAAGTGAAATGATGAAATTATTTCCTCAAGGTTATAAAATGAAACTAGCATCTCTCTCTCTCCCTCTTTTTCTGTCTCCTGCTCCCTCCCTTTTCCCTTCCTCCCTCCCTCTCTCTCTCCTTCCCCTGCTCTCTCTCTCTCTCTCTCACACACACACACACACACACACACACACACACACACAGTGTATAATATTCCCTTTCTATTCATAGTATTTGTTATTGTATTTTCTCTTCTGGCCCTCACATTCCTTGTCCCGAACTGTTACAAACTGCAAAACCAATTAGAGCTAAATGTTTATATTAGTTGTTTCTTGATTTCTCCAAGAAACTCTTAATATGTAGTGCAACGCTGCAAGTAAATTCGTATTCATGCTTTAAGAACTAAGATAGTACTACCAACAAGCAATGGGAATAACTGACTAATGACTCCTTTATATTTAACCAGCAGTTATTATTGGATTTAATAGAATACTTCATTTCTGAGATTTTTCATAAATACATAAAACAAACATTTATTGTTTGTCTTGGTGTAGAATACATAACCAGAAACAATGGTTTTCATTTGTTCTGCATATCAGTGAAGAAGTTAATCCTTTCACAATGTTATCTAGCTGTAATCCTTTTTTCATTAATCATAAGATTTTAATGGAGTGTGCTGAAGTGTTTTTTCCAAGATTATAAAAACATGGAGGACTAACATCATGAACTGTTTATCTTCATATTTACTGCATTGTAATTTTTTAGTTCCAATTTATATTTTTAATATCAGCAGTTCTACTTTAATTGTTTACTACATTGACTTAATATGGTATAAAAAGAGAATGGTATACTAACTTGAGTTCCACAACATTTCTGATTCAATTGGTCAACTTACTGAGGCACATTTTATACTTTCTGAAAACCCATTATGAACCAATAATTGATGTCTATTATAATGAATGAAGATACACTTCTAACTAATTAAAAGGCAGTCAGCATTCATCAGAAAGAAGAGTTTCAAATGGTTCCTGGAGTCTCATCATTTGTGTCACTTCTGAATTTTTTGTAAAGCAATATATTTTGAACAGTACAAATGAAGTCACTTCAGGAAAGCCATCTTTATCTTATATTGAAATTATATTTATAATTTCAAAGACCATTCTCATCTTACCTGCAAATAAGATGAATTTAGCTTCTATTTGAATACATTAAGGACAACTTTCATCCCTACTAGATCCAGAATCAAGGATGAATAAACAGTGCAAGACACAACATCTCCCTAAATGAACGCTTCATCAACAAGGAAAGAGGTGAAGACAGAAAGGGAAATTAATGGAATATGCACCCGGTCAACATTAATGAATTTTTCTTTCGGGCGATTTTAGACAACAGAGAAAAGCTTTTGACTTACCTCTTCAAAAAATGTATTTGGTTACATGGGGAAATTTTACTCTGTCTATATTCTAAGATTTATTTGACCAAAGGTACTTCTATTTCCTGAACACTGCATGGAAAATAATTTATTTTAATAGAGCATGGAATATAATATTTTTAAATACTTTATTTCAAATGTAATAACAAATACCTTTTATCTGCAACAAACTTACCATCATTAGCACTGGGCACTGAAGTCTAAGAAAAACTATTTAAGTGGTTCCTGTGAAAGTTAGTCTACCTATACAACCTAATATCTACCTCTTTTTTTCATAATTAGTAGGAAATCTAATCATTTCTTGACCCATTTAGACATGTGTCAACAAAAATGCCATTTGTAATTTTAATGTTGTTAATATTCTTCAATACAAATAACTATTTGAAAATTATCTTCTTTTGATATCCTGTGATACAAGGTAAATCTGAAATATATTATGTTTAATTTTTAATAAATTGTCCTTTAAAGCAAATACATTTCATATATTGATAGGAGACATAAATCATTCTTGTGCTCACTTTTGAAAACCTGTTAACAATTTAAAATTATTTAATGTACTCTATGAACTATATTAGACATTTTAAAATTAAGACAAATATAATTTTTATATATTATCCTGTTTCTGTTTATTCTTATACTTCTTATAGGAAAATAGATATATTAAGATACATATAGTATATACCTCTTTTGACTATTTGCTACAAATGAGCTAAGTAAATAAAAATTTTACTGTAGAGTATAATATGTTTAATCATAATGAAAATGATTTTCTTTTAATTATATAAAAATAATAATATTTCTTTTAAGTATGTTTAATATTTCAGATAAAACAAAATGAATACATAAAAGTAATTTTATTGATTCCAAATTTAGTTTTTAATTATTTTCAATATTTTCTATACTATTATTTAGGGAATTGACAGGATTCAATTTAATGTAGGTGTTAAAAATATCAATACTAAATCATAAATATTAATATTTTCAAGCAAATAGATCCTTCTATATAGAACATGTGCTGGTAAATTGTTTAAATGAATTGAAAGTGATTTAATAACATATGTAATAAACAATGTAGCTCTGCTATTAGATTGGTTAGGTCAAATTATAAAATCACTATTCATTATTTTCTTACATTAAGTTTGGTGATGTCAGTAAATATTTATCTGAAACCTGAGCCAACTGTACCCACAAACTGTTTGATAGACTACAATCGACTTAACAGTTTGTAAGGATATTCACTAATACCTTTAAGAGGAAATCAGTGTTATAAAAGCTAATAAAATAAATATTTAAAACTTGCCTGGTGGCAATCATAAATTCTTTTTTTAAATGAGTGGGCAATTTTTCTGAGGTTGGTAAGAGGCTGATGAAACTGAGCAGATTCAAGGAAAGGGACACTTGGTTTTGCCAAACCTGCAAATTGGGCCAGACATCTCACAGCCTTGCCCAGATGAAATGCCTGTGACTAAGGCAAAGAGCTATGGTTGGGGTCTTGTGTGTTCTAATGAACCAACACTGCAAACTGCATTTTTTATTTCTTCAGTCATAAAACTAATGATGCTAAACATACAAAATGAAAATCACACAATATACTTAAATTCAAGAAAAACTGTACAGTATTTGCAACATATATTCCTTTCAAAAATAATAGAGGGGTGTCAGAGTGAGAGCTCATCTCTAAAAATCAGCAGTAGCGGCAACAGCATCATCATCATCATCATCATCATCATCACCATCATCATCATCGGCAGTATTTTATAGAATTGAATATCAAGAAAATAATATTACAGCATTTCTATATTTATTATAAGTTGTTTTAGTTCATTTTTATGTTTAGTTTTTAATCTAATCCATTTATCATCCCAAACATGGAAATGACATTCATAATCTGTCAAAATAATGAACTACAGTGATCTACAATGAGAAATTCCTAGTTACATTTCAGTACATCAAAAAGTCCACTATCTTAGAGTACCAAAACAAGTAGTAGGAGGGAGAAAGGAAATAGAGAAGCTAATATAAATATGTGACTTCCCCATTTAAAGTTTGCCATGTAGTCAGGGAGATGGAATACATATACTTTTAAAGACCTAAAGGAAAAAACATGTACAAAGCAACATTATTCACTGTACAAATTAACACAGTATAAATTGAACACATGGATTGTGAGAGGAGGCCGAAGAGATGAAAGAATCATCAGAGGAGCCAGTCGTGGTATGTTTTCTGTAAAGATTACTGTGGCAATTAACCAGAAAACTGAATTTCTATGAAGTAAAAGCAACACTTTCTAGGTAGAGTGTATGCTAAAGTGAAAAAACAGTAAGTATGGACCAAGTGAAAATTTTGGTGGAAGGAAAGAAATATTTTTGAAATGAATAAAAATCTGTGACTTACTGTTGTCAACAGAAAATAGCAAAATTAAAAAGAAAACTGGTCAATCAGGATATATTCTGGTTATTATACAAAAATGCATTATATGTAACATTATTTTATCATAAAAATTACATACAGGGCTATTTACTACCCATTTTATACATATTTTACAAAGACAGAAAAAGAGAAGAGTGAAATATCTTACACTTCAAATTATTTATGAATTTTCCTGTATTGATTTCAAGATCCTACAATGCGAAAGCAATGTGAAACAAGATTAGTATCACAAAATATTCAGATATTACTTAGATTAAAGTAAGAAAAATAGTATTTGAGTTTATACCAGTTGTCAATATTCAGAAAGTTTTTAAATAAGAAAAAATGAGTTTACTTTGCATCATGAGAAATTTAAAGTTAAGCATATTTTCTGATGATAAATGATAATGGCTAAAAAAATCAAAGCAATATTCAGGAAACTGTTTTAAACAAGTTAGGAAGGATTTATGTGAATGATAGTTTTGGAGTCAAAGCAGCAGTTTTATAAAAACATAGAAACTGATTCTCAGACTTGCCTCTAACACTAAGTAGCTAACCCAGATCGTCATCTATTAAGGTGTATTAACCTTTTTTCAATCAGTTTCAATTCCATTCTTTTGAGTCAATAAACTGAGTATAATGTAAGAGGATGGATATTGTCTTCTGGATTTGAACTTTATTAATCAATCAACTATAATACAATTCTGAATATTAAGTGATGTCTCACTAAATAAGCATTTTTTTCTGAAATATCATCTCTGATGTTATCCAAATTGCTATTTTTACTTTTTAAAAAAATCTACATGGGGATTAAAAGTATATTCAAATAAGCCAGAGAATAAATTTGACCTTTTCTTTGCTGCTCTTGAATGGAAAATTGTCTTTAATATAACAAGTTTTTAAAATAAGTAAATAAATGGTTTTTGACTATAATAGAAGCTACTTTCCATCATAAGAAATTATTTTTCTTCATAATATTCAGATAAAACTTTGGGATTATCAACCAGTGGCACTAATCCCATTGAGTAAAACCAGTGATAAATATTAATGGCACACTCATTTGTGCTATGCAGAAATACCATTAAAGAACAAACTTCCCCAAATAAATTCTACTCCTAAACTTCAATGTTTTTGCAATTCCTTATCTAGTTCCTTGCTTCTTTAAGTACATCTAATCATGAGACTCAGACTGGCCTCAAAGGAATTTGATTAATCAACCTTCACGTCTCAATTCAATGATAATCTAATATGTAAAGTAACTATCAAAGTTATCCTTGATGTTTCCACAATAAAGATTCACTGTAGGTGATATATTTGAAGAATTAAATGCAGAATCTAAAAATTCTAAAGAAATAACCCAATATTAAAACATTGGTAAAGTACAAATGACACAAGGGTATTAATAAGAAGTCTTATTATTTGCAGTCTTCAGACATTTGAAACAAGAAAATATGTGTTTTTAATTTGAATTAGTCCTAGCAAAATGATCAATAAAGAAAAGATAGTTTATTATAGATTTCATGACATTACAAAAAAACAACTGGCAGTATAATATAAACCACATAATTATCTGTTAATTACAGATGTACTTGAAGATTTTTCATAAACATTAGCCATTCACGGTTACAGAATTTCACTAAGTAAAGGGGAATGTAAAATCTTGTATGGTTCTTTCAGGTTTAACCCTATATGATAGTAAATAATACAAAAAAATTATAAAATATTCAGAGTGAATCAGCAAGATGGCAGAATAGGTGGTCTCCTGCTTGTATTCCCCATAGCAACAATAATTTGGCATTCATCCACAAACAAAAGTGCCTTGTGGGAGCTTTGGGATCCAGGTAGGAGGTTGCAAAACGCTGATGGAGTCCAAAACCAAGAAGAGCCATCTTGAAACTACAGGCTCATGCCCAACGTGTCAGGCTCACCAACTCTGGTCCTGAAAACAGCCCCATCCCCTGTTAGACTCACATACAGACCTGGTTGGCTTTGATCCTGCACCACCAGCACCACCTGCTAAGGGATCTGGGAGGAGTAACATCCACTTGTGCCACACGTGGCAATAGTTGGCTACAGTGGCTTGGATGCCCACTGACCTCAATCCTGGTTGTAGACCCTAAAGCAGTTCATCATCTGGCTCCAGTCCTCAACCATGGTCTGGGAGCAGTCCTGCCTGCCCAGTGAACCACCGAGAGACATCTGTTCATGCTTCTAGAGCCAGACCTGCCAGTGCCAACCCCCATCCCACAGCATATCCTGAACTGGCCCTGTGACTTGCCTCCAGCCCCTCTCAGCTGTGGCCTTGGAGCAGTCCTGCCTGCTCAGAGACTTGCCTGGAGACATGCCCATCCATATCAACCTCAGTTCTACTAAGGAGTTTGAAGTGGCCCTGTTACCCAGCTCCAGCCCCCACCCCCACCTTCAGTAGCAGTCCAGGAGTGGTCCTGCCAACCCAGGAACCAGAGTTATGCCCTAAATCAGGGGTTCCCCACTCCCAGGTCATGGACACATACTGATCCATGGCCTATTAGAAACCAGGCCGCACAGCAGGAAGTGAGTAGCAGACGAGAGATCATTACCACCTGAGTTCTGCCTTCTGTCAAATAAGTGGCAGCATTAGATTGTCATAGAAGTGTGAACCCTATTGTGAACTGCACATGTGAGGGATCGAGGTTGCAGGCTCCTTATGAAAATCTAATGCCTGATAATCTGAGGTAGAACAGTTTCATCCTGAAACCATCCCTCCCAGCCCAGGTTTGTGAAAAAATTGTCTTCCATGAAACTTGTCTCTGGTGCCAAAAAGGTTGGGGACAACTGCCTTACATGATCCCAGAGGCATCAGAGGCAGACCTGAAGACCTGTGTCATCTGTGGCCCCTGAAGCAGCCCTGTGACTTGGTTCCAGCCCTTCATAGTGGTGGTTTACAGCCAGTCCTGCCTGCCCAGGGAATGACCCAGTGACCCAGGAGAAGCCCTCTAAAAGACCTGTAGGAGCCACACCTGTTCATGCAAATGGTAATAGGCCTATAATCTGCAGACCTAGCTGTGGACCCTAAAGCAGACCCTTGTGTCTCAGAGCCATCCCTATAATCAATGTCCTGGAACCAGTCTAGTCCACCCAGGTACCAGACAGAATCAATACCCATTGGAGCCCCTGGTAACAGGCCCACCAACCACAGACCCCACTGTGGACCCACATGACCAGGCTCTAACTCCACATGACTCAGATCCAAGATAAAACCACATCAGCTTGGGTACCCAAGAGGAGAAGGCATTTACCTGTAAAAAACAGTCTGTAAAGACTGGAAGAGGTGTTTGTTCCTTGAAATACACAGAAACTGCTATAGTCTGATTGTTTTTATTCCCCTAAAATTCATATGTTGAAACCCAGCTCCCAAGGTGTTGGTATTAAGATGTTGTATCTTTGAGAAGTGATTAGATTATGAGTACAGAGCCCTCATGAATGGAATTAGTAACTAATTATATTAAAGCTCCATGAGATGCAAGAGAACACAGATAGACAACTAAACAAAATCAATAAACAATGCATAAACAAAATTAGAAGTTTAATAAAGCAATAGAACGCACGCACACACACACACACACACACACAAACCAACAACAACAACAACAACAAAAAACCAGAAATCCTGAAGCCAGAGAAAACAGTGAGAGAACTGAAAAAATTCAATAGATCTTCAATAGCAAATTCAATCATGTGGAAGAAAGAATCAGTGAGCTCAAAGACAAGTCATTTGAAATTAGCCATGTAGAGGAACCAAAAGAAAAAAGAATTAAAAAGAGTGAGAAACGTATACAGGACCTATGGGACACCATCAAGCAAATAAATGTAAAAATTATGGGAGTCTCAGAAGAAGAAAGCTTATTTAAATAAATAATGGCTGAAAACTTACCAATCTAAGGAGAAATGTGGATATCCAGATTTATAAAGTTCATACATCCCCAAGAAAGATCAACCCACAGAAACATTATTTCAAAACACATTTTAATCAAGTTGCTAAAAGTCAAAGACAAAGAGAAAATCTTGAAAGCAGCATGAAAAAAGGAGAATTCTCACATACAAAGGAACTTTCATATGACTGAAAGTAGATTTCTCAACAGAAACCTTGCAGACAAGAGCAGAATGAAATGACATATTCAAAGTACTGAAAGAAAAAAATTGCGAGGTAAGATAGTATGGCCAGCAACACTGTCCTTCAGAAATGAAGAACAGTTAGATAGACAGTCCCCAAAAAATGTTGACGGAGTTCATCATCACTTAACCTGCCTTACAAGAAAAGTTAAAGAGACTTCTTTCCGTTGAAACAAAAAAGTGCTAGGAAACAGCATGAAAACATATGAAAATTAAAAACTCACTGAAAAAGAAAAATATATAGTCAAATTCAGACTATATTAATACTGTAATTGTGGTACATAAAACAGTTTTAACTATAGTTTTGAAGTTAAAAACAAAGGTATTAAAATAAGTACATATAAAATAATTTTTAATAGATACACAAGATAAACAGATGAAAACTGTGATGTCAATAGCATAAAATAAGGAGGAGAGGAAGAAGAAGTGTAGGGTTTTAGTAGGCAATTAAAGTTATTATCAGTCTAAAATTGACTCTAAGACAAAGATGCCTCAAAAAATAGAACTAAAGGCCAATATCCCTAATGCATATGAATGAAAAAATCCTCAACAAAATACTAGCAAACTGAATTCAACAGCACATTAAAAAGATCATTCATCATGGCCAAGTGGCATTTGTCTCAGGGATGCAAAGATGGTTCAATATATGCAAATCAATCAATGAAATACATCGTATCAACAGAATAATTATCAGCCTAAATAAGGACAGAATAAGGGACAAAACCATATTCTCATCTCAACTGATGCTGAAAAAGAATGTGATAAAATATAACATCCCTTCATGGTACCAACCCTCAAAAAACTGGGTATAAAGGGCACATATTCAACACAATGAAAGCCATATACAGCAGACCCATGGCTAGTATCATACTGAATGGGGAAAAATTAAAAGCCTTTTATCTAAATCTGGAACAAGACAAGGATGCCAACTTTCACCACTATTATTCAACATAGTACCGAAAGTCCTAGCAAGAGCAATCATATAAGATAAAGAAATGAAGACATCCAAATTGGAAAGGAGAAGACAAATTATCCTTGTTTGCAGATGGTATGATCTTATAATTGGAAAAACCTAAAGACACCACCAGAAAACTATTAAAACTGACAAACAAATTCAGTAAAGTTGCAGGATACAAAAATTAACATGCAAAAATGAGTAGCATTTTTATATGCCGACAGTGAACAATCTGAAAGAGAAATCAAGAAAGTTATCCCATTTACAATAACTATGAATAAAATTAAATACACAGGAATAAACTTAACCAAAGAAGTTAAAGAGTCTACAATGAAAACTTTATTTATTGAAAAAATGGATGTGAGAAATTAAAGAGGATGCAAAAATGGAAATATGTTCCATGTTGGATTGGAAGAATAAATATTGTCAAAATGTCCATACTACCCAAAGCAACCTGCAGATTCAGTGCAATCCCTCCCAAAATACCAATGACATCTTCACAGAAATAAGAAAAAACAATCCTAAAATTTATATGGAACCAAAAAAGACCCAGAATAGCCAAAACTATTCTGAGCAAAAATCACAAAACTGGAGAAATTATATCACCTGACTTCAAATTATACTACACAGCTATAGTAACCAAAACAGCATTATACTAGCATAAAAACAGACACATAGACCAATTGAACATAATAGAGAACCAATAAATAAATTAATATCTCTACAGGAAACTTATTTTTGACAAAAGTGCCAAAATCATACATGGGGAAAGGAGAGTCTCTTCAATAAATGATGCTGAGAAAATTGGACATCCAAATGCAGAAGAATGAAACTAGAACCCTATCTCTCACCATATACAAATAACAAATAAAAATGGATTGAAGACTTAAATTTATGATCTCAAATTATAGTTTCTTGAAACTACTACAAGAAAACACTGGGGAAACTCTCCAGGACATTGGACTGGGCAAATATTTATTGATTAATACCCCCAAGCACAGAGAACCAAAGCAAAATGGACAAATGGGATCATGTCAAGTTAAAAAGCTTCTGCACAACAAAGGAAACAATCAACAAAGTGAACAGACAACCCACAGAATGGAAGAAAATATTTGCAAACTACCTGTCTGACAAAGGGTTAATAAGCAGAATATATAAGAGCTCAAACAGTTACACAGGAAAAAGCCTAATAATCTTATTTTTTAAATGGGCAGAAGGTCTGCATAGACATGTATCAAAAGAAAATATATAAATGGCAAACAGATAGATACAAATGAGAAATATCATTTCTCAAAAGAAGATGTACAAATGCCAAGCTGCTTAACATCATTTGATTATCAGGGAAATGCAAAACAAAACTACAATGAGGTATCATCTCACCCCTTTTGGATAAAATCCATTTTGAAAAACAGCAAAATGGCTTTTATCCAAAAGACAGGCAATAACAAATGCTGGTGAGGATGTGCAGAAAAGGGAACCCTAGTACACTGTAGGTGGGAATGTAAATCAGCACAACCACTATAGAAAACAGTGTGAAGGTTTCTCAAAAACCGAAAATAGAACTACCATATGATCCAGCAACCCTACTGCTAAGTATACACCCAAAAGAAAGGAAATCAATATATTGAAGAGATACTTACACTCCCGTGTTTGTTGCAGCACTATTCACAATAGCCAACATCTGGGAGCAACCGTCTGTCCATTAACAGATGAATGGATAAAGAAAATGTGGTACATACACACAATAAAGTACTATTCAGCAATAAGAGTAAATGAGATCTTGTCATTTGCAACAACGTGGATGGAACTAGAGATCAGTATGTTAAGTGAAATAACCCATGTACCAAAAGACAAGCTTCACATATTTTCATTTATTTGTGGGATCTAAAAACTAGAACAATTAAACACAAGAAGATGAGGAGTAGAATGGTGGTTACTAGAGGCTAGGAAGGGTGGGGATAAAAGGAGTGGGATGGTTAGTGAATACAAAAATATAGCTATGTAATATGGATAAGATCTAGTATTTCATAGCCCAACAGGGTAGTCAAGAACAATTTATCGTACATTTTAAAATAACTTAAAAAGTATAACTGTATTATTTTTACCACAAAGGAAGAATAAATCCTTAAGATGATTGATACCCCATGTTATTGTGTTGTCATTATTATGCATTGTATGCCTACATCAAAATATCTCAGGTATCCCATAAATATGTACACCTAATATGTACACACAAAAGTTAAAAATAATAAGTAATAAATAATAATATTTTAAAAAGAAATTTAAATCAGTTCTAAGAAAACTTGTAGCAATGAAGACCTACATTAAGAAAAAAGATAAATTTCAAATAACTTCTTTATACTTTAAAGAACTAGAAAAAGAAGAACAAATTAAGTCAATGTTAGCAGAAAGAAGGAAATAATAAAGAACAGAGAAGAAATAAGTGAAATAGAGAGTAGATGATCAATAAGAAAGGCAAATGATTTAGCTAGATGGACTTAAAAAAGGAGATCAGAAAATAAAATTATATATGGAGGAAACATTACCAATGATACCACAAAATATGAAGAGATTTTGATAGATTACTATACACAATTATATTCCAACAAATTGGTTGGCCTGGAAGAAATGGGTAAATTCCTAGAAATATACAACTTACCAAGACTGAATCATGAAGAAATAGAAAACCTAGACAGACCAATAATGAGTAAAAAGATTGAATCTAATCAAAACCCTCTCAACAAAGAAAAGTCCAGGACCAGATGGCTTCACTGGTTAATTCTGCCAAATATTTAAATAATTCAAGCCAATCCTGCTCAAACTTTTCCAAAAAATTAAAGAGGAGGAAAGACTTCCAAACTCATTTCACAAGGCCAGCACTACCCTAATACCAAAGCCAAATAAAAACACTACAAGAAAAGAGAATTACAGGCCAATATCCTTGAAAAATATTGATGTAAAAGTCATAAACAAAATATTAGCAAGCCAAATTTAGCAGTACATTAAAAGGATGATATACTATATTCATATGGGATTTTTTCACGGATTCAAGAATGATTGAATATATGCGCATAAATATGATGCATCACATTAACAGAATTAAGCACAAAAATTATATGATCATCTCAATAGATTAAAAAATCATCTTACAAAACAACATACTTTTATAATAAAAATTCAACAAATTAAGTATGAAAGAAATGTACATCAACATAATAAAGACCATATAAAACAAGCTCACAGCTAAAACATTCACAGTAGTAAAAAATAAAAGTGTTTTCTAAAGACCAGGAACAAAACAAGACCGCTCACTCTTACAATTGCTATTAACATAGTACTGGAAGTTCTAGCCAGAGCAATTAGTCAGGTGAAATAAATAAAGGGCATTCAAATTGGAAAGAAATAAATTAAATTGTCTCTGCAGATGACATAATCTTATATACAGAAAACCCTAAAGATTACACTGAAATAAACTGTTAGAAATAATGAACAAATTTAGTAATGTTGGAGTATACAAAATCAACATACACAAATCAGTTTCATTTGTATACAATAACAATGAAGTATCCAAAAGAATTAAGAAAACAGTATCATTTACAATAGTATCAAAAAGAACAAAATACTTATGAATAAATTTAACCAAGAAGCTGAAAGAATTTTACACTGAAAATTATAGAACATTGGTGAAAGAAATTGAAGAAGACACAAATAAATGGAAAGATATCTCATGTTCATGGATTGGAAAAATTAATATTATTAAAATATTCACACTATTCAAAGTAATCTACATATTCAATGTAATCTCTATCAAAATTCCAATGACATTTTTCACAAAAATAGAAAAAATCTCCTAAAATTTGTATGAAGCCACAAAAGACTGAAAAGACAAAGCAATCTTGAGAAAGAATGAAGCTGGAGGCATTACCCTTCCTTTTGGAGATGGTGTCTTGCCCTACTGCCCAGGCTGGAATGCAGTGGGGCATGATCACAGCTCACCTCAGCCTCAACCTTGTGGGCTCAAGCAATTCTCTTGCCTCAGCCTCCTGGGTAGTTGGGACTACAGGCATGTGCCACTACACCAAGCTAATTTAAAATATATATATATATAAAAATATATATATATTTATATATATTTTATATATATATTTATATATATATAAAAAATATATATAAATATATATATAAATATATATATATATAAATATATATATTTATATATATATAAATATATATATATATATATATATAAAATAGAGACAGGGTCTTGCTGTGTTGCCTAGGCTGGTCTCAAATTCCTGGCCTCAAGCAATCCTTCCACCTCAGTCCTCCAAAGTACTGAGATTACAGGCATGAGTCACCACATCTGACCTCACCCTTCTTGATTTCAACTACATTACAGAGCTATAGTAATAAACAGAGAATGGCAGTGGCATAAAAATAGACACATATACGTCGGTACAGTATGGGAAATTAAAACAAACAAACAACAACAAAAAACGGACATATAAACCAACAGAACAGAATAGAGGGTCCAGAAATAAACGCAGGCATATATGGTCAAATAAGTTCCAACAAGAGTGCCAAGAATCCATATGGGAAAAGAATAGTCTCTTCAATCAATGGTTTGGGTAAACTGGATATTCACATGCAAAAGAACAAAATTGGACCCTTTTCTTATATCATATGCAAAGATTAACTAAGTGGATAAAAAAAAAAAAAACTTCATGTAAGTCCTGAAATCAGAAAACTCCTAGAAGAAATAATAGGGAAAATGCTATTTGACATTGATCTTGGCAATGATCTTTTGGATATGAACCCAAAAGCATGGCAAAAAAGCCAAAATAAACAAGTAGTACCACATCAAATTAAAAAGCTCTGCACAGCAAAGTACACAGTGGATGGAATGAAAAGGCAACCTATAGAATGGATGAAAATAATTGTAAACTTTATAACTGATTAGGGGTTAATATCCAAAATATACAAAGGACTCTTACAACTCAGTCTCACACACACACACACACACACACACACACACACACACACACACCCCATAAATTATTCAGTTTAAAAATGAACAGAAGACTTAAATAAACATTTTTCCCAAAGAAGACATACAAATGGCTAACAGGTATATGAAAAGGTGCAACTATCATTAATCATCAAGTAATGCAAATCAAAATCACAATGGAATGTCACCTCCCATCTGTTAGAATGGCTATAAAAAAAAAGAGTTAACTAATGTTTACAAGGATATGGAGAAAGGGAACCCTTTTACCTTGCCTGTGGGAAGGTAAATTGAAACAGCCATTATGGAAAACAGTATGGAGTTTCTTCAAAAAATTAAAATAGGATTCCGCTATATACTTCTGGATATCAAAAGGAAACAAAGCCGGTAAATCAAAGTGATATCTGCACCCCCATGTTCATTGTAGCATTATCTACAACAGCCAAGATATGAAAACACTCTAAGTGTCCATCAACAGATGAATGAATAAGGAAAATGTGGGATGCATGTGTGCGTTTGTGTGTGTGTGTGTGTGTGTGTGGAGAGAGAGGAGAGAAACAGAGAGAAATAGAATATTATCTGGCCATGAAAAAAGAAACCCTGCTATTTGTGACATGGATGAAGCTGAAGGACATTATGCTAAACAAAATAAGGCAAACACAGAAAGACAAATACTGTATGATCTCATATGTGAAGTCTAAAATAGTTGAAATCATAAAGAGTAGAATAGCGGTTGCCAGCAGCTAAAGAGATGGAGTGGTATGTTGGTTAAGGAGTACAAACTTTCTGTTATAAGATGAATAAGTTCTAGGGATCTAACGTACTGTGGTGACTATAGTTAATAGTACTGTATTGTATACTCGAAATTTGCTAAGAGAGTAGATCAAAAGTGTTTTCATCACAAAAATGGTAACTATGTGAAGTGACGACTATCGTGGTAATCATTTTACAATATGTATACAATATAGGTATACATATATCAAATTATCACATTGTACCCATTAAATGTATATAATTTTGTCAATTAAAGCTCAATAAACCTGAAAAAGACAGACAAATACTAAATAAATAAATTCAGCAATCTTTTTGGCACCTAATGACAAATTCTTTGCTGCCTTCATTGATTTATTTTATTGAAATACCTCAAAAGGTGAGAATTATTAAGGTAATTATTAATCCTGTGGTCAGTAACTGAGAGCACTTTTCTTATGCTGCAATTAAATCCCTTATTCCCATTAATGACAGTGAAAAACATGGAATAGTAAGGTCAAATATTCTGAGAATATAACTTAAAAAGTAAAGTAATAGACAATTAGGTGTTTTTATAGAAGTAATGTTGAGAAATATATGGCAAAAATATCACATAAGTTATCCTAATTTAGGTTAAAAAGCCATAAAACAAAGCACAATGCCTATCAAGAATCATGTTCAGATAGGACAGAATTTATGACAAACACTACTTGCCTGGTTTTCAATACCTTAAATTTACCCAAATTCACAGGAAAATCTTCCTTAGAAAATCTTTTGTTAGTCACGGTGCAGCTCATATACCCAAATTTAGTTAGAAATGTCAGAAATGCTATGGCTGGTAATTACAGAGTGAATCTAAATCAAATAATAGCTTTTTAATCATTATAATGATCATAGTAATTTGAAAGGTGAACATAGCAAGAATGATGTTAACATAAAATTGTTGATATCAAAAACTGAAATTAATACTGGATCATTTCCATCATTAATCAGGAAATAAATCTATCTTGCAAGAGGATTTTCTGAGAGCAGCTAATAACTGCTATCACACTTTCCTGAATCCATAAACCAAATATAGATAGAAGAGTGACTGATATTAGGAGCCTGAAAGTGACAGCTCCCTCATGAATATAACTAAACCATGTGACCTCTATGGTATTAAGACTTGAAGTAAAATTATCCTATCATGAAATAATTCAGCAGTCAGCTTGATGAGTATGCTTCAGTGCAAAAGCCACAGATATCTGTGTCAAGCTGATTTTCTGCCATTATTTGCATGTTTAGAGGGTTACTTGAAAATAGAAAAAAAATGAATAATGAGTTTTGTATAAGTACATACAATCACAGCAAATACAATCACAGCAAATAATGTAAATATATACAATCACAGCAAATTAATAAGTGGGAATGGGGCTAAAATATGGCCTCTAAACCTTGAGTCACAATTGCTATTTGCATGCCCCAAATAACCATTTAGGTTTTATCATCATCTATCAAATACTTTCCAATGACAGTGACATCTCTTATTCTTAGAAGACAGACACACAGGATACTATCCCAAAAGGGTGCATTTTTTGGACTTCCCAAATCACTAAACCAAAATTATTCCATTTACCATGAATTTTAATCAATATGTTATTATTCCAAAAATAGATTTAAATGTATTCTTCATCTCATGCAGTGTTCATGATGGCTATTGCAAAACAAAAGGCAGCATCATCCATGGCTTTTATCCTAGAACTCTGGAACTGCTATCAGGGCTGAATGGGAGACAGTTTAGCCAAAAATACTGAAATTTCAAATATTTATAGCCATTGACCCAATAGGTCTACCTCTAGTTATTTATTTAACAAATAGATGTACTCATATTAGTGTTTAAATACATACACATGCACACACACATAAACATTTATACATACATATACACATACACATCTTTAAAATATGTATGTAAAAGATGTTAATTATAGCAATATTATAATAATAACAAAATGGAAACCACCAAAATGTTTACAAACTAATGTTTCCATATTAATACAATGGAATACTATATAACCAAATAAAATGAATTGGGTAATTGTCCATAATATTCAGTTACACAAAATGCATAAATATGCAGAATGTGTGGCATGATTCTAGCTGCATTTTGTATAAATATAAACCTTCATATATGAAAATTAGGAAAATTCATATTTTAAAAGCAAATTACATTAGAATAGATGAAAGTGATCAATTGTGTAATGATTAGACAATGATTGATTTAATAATTGGACTAAATAGGTAATGACTAATTAGATTGATAATGATTAGATTCATTTTTGCTTGATTAGAGACTTTGGGGTCTGTTTTGTTGTTGTTGTTTTGCTTTTACCACAGAAAACTATACCTCAATGTGCACAAACCACGTTGTTTTGTCCAACCATCATTTTTGAGTAATTTATTTATAACACATATCTCCAGTGTCTGCTAAGATGTAAGCTTCAGGAAGACACAAATAATTGTCTGTTTTGTTCAATGATGTACCTCAATCACCTAGAAAATAAATGCCACATGTATTATAAACCCTCAAAAATATATAGATGAGTGAATTAATGAAGGAACTTTATGGTTTTTTAAAATGAGCCTTGATATTTACCCTGTACTTGCATAGACATATAGCCATATAGGCCTTATACTTTTCTCTTGCTCCCAAAGGAAAAAAAAATTATATTTGATATATGAGGTTAAGATTTAACCAGCAGAAATAATCTCTGTTCCAGAATTTCCATTCACACATCACGAGGTATTTCTCTTATTTAGTCAGTGTGTGTGTAACTATTCGTGCTCCTCTAGGTATCACAGAGACCTAGAAACTACTTTATATGCGCCTGACTCAGGTTCTCAACCCTGAACTATCTCTCTTTCTCTCTCTCTACCCTCCTCTACTTCAATTACAACAGCAACATAGAAATTACAAAATTTTTAATGTAATTCACGTATGAACCAGCAATTCCACTCCCAGGTATATACTGAAGAGTAACGAAAATATATATAAAACATAATCATAAGATTTTCCAAAGTTGAAATGAAAGAAAGAATGTTAAATGCAGCTAGAGAGAAAGGTCAGGTCACCTACAAAAGGAACCCCATGAGGCTAACAGTGGACCTCTCAGCTGAAACCCTATGAGCCAGAAGAGGTTGTGGGCCTATATTTAACATTCTGTAAAGAAAAAGAATCTTTAACCAAGAATTTCATATCCAGCCAAACTAAGCTTCTTAAGTGAAGGAGAAATAACATCCTTTTCAGATAAGCAAATGTTGAGGAAGTTTGTTACCACCAGACTTGCCTTAAAAGAGATCTTGAAAGGAGTGCTAAGTATAGAAAGGAAATACCACTACCAGCTAATACAAAAAACACACTTAAATACTCAGACCAGTGACACTGTAAAGTAACCACACAAACAAGCCACCATAATAACCAGCTAACAACACAATGACAGAATCAAATCCACACGTATCAAAACTAATCTTGAGTGTAAATGTGCTAAATGACTCCACTTAAAAGGCACAGAGTGGTAAGCTGGGTAAAAAAGCAAGATCCAATGGTATGCTGTCTTCAAGGGACCCATCTCACATGTAATGACACACATAGGCTCAAAATAAAGGGATAGAGGAAAATCTACCAAGCAAATGGAAAACAGAAAAAAAAAACAGGAGTTGCAATTATAAATTCAAATAAAACAGACTTTAAAAGAACAAAGTTCAAAAAAGACAAGGGGATTACATAATGGTAAAAGGTTCAATTCAACAAGAACACCTAACTATCCTAAATATAAATGCACCCAACACAGGAGCACCCAGATTCATAAAGCAGGTTCAAAGATACCTACAAAGAGACATAGACTCCCACATAATAATAATGGGAGACTTCAACCTTCCATTGACAGTATATCTAATACTATCAATTATCAAGGCAGAAAATTAACAGATTATCAAGGCAGAAAATTAACAAAGATCTTCAGGACCTGAACTCAACATTGGATCAAATGGATCTGATAGATCTCTACAGAACTCTCCACCCAACAACAACAGAATATACATTCTCATCACCAAATGACACACACTCAAAAATTGACCACCTAATTAACATAAAACAATCCTCAGCAAATACAAAATAATTGAAATCATACTAGACACTCTTGGACCACAACACAATAAAAATAGAAGCCAAGACTAAGAAAATCACTCAAAACCAGGCAATTACTGAAAATAAAACAACATGCTCCCACATGCCTTTGGGATAAATAGTGAAATTAAGGCAGGAATCAAGGAGTTATTTGAAACTAATGAAAACAAAGAGACAACATGCCAGAATCTCTGGATACAGCCAAGGCAGTGTTAAGAGGGAAATTCATAGCATTAAATGCCCTCATTAAAAGAGTGGAAAGAACTCAAATTAAGAACTTAACATCACAACTGAAAGAACTAGAGAACCAAAAGCAAACAAATCCAATAGCTAACATAAGACAAGAAATAACCAAAATCAGAGATGAAGGAAATCAAAACACACAAAAAATTCAAAAGATCAATGAATCCAGGAATTGGTTTTTTGAAAACATTAATAAGATAGGCCACTAGCTAGGCTAATAAAGAACAAAAGAGAGAAGATTCAAATAAACACAATTAGAAATGACAAAGGGAATGTTACCACTGACTCCACAGAACTAAAAATAACTATCAGAAACTACCATGAACATCTCTATGCACACAAACTAGAAAACCTAGAAGAGATGGAAACATTCCTGGACACATATACCCTCCCAAGACTGAGCCAGGAAGAAATTGATTCCCCAAAAACACCAATAATGAGCTCCAAAACTGAATCAGTAATAAGTAGCCTACCAATCAAAAAAAAAGCTCAGGATCAGATGGAGTCACAGCTCAATTCTACCAGATGTACAAAGAAGAGTTGGTACCATTCCTACTGAAACTATGCCAAAATATTGAGAATGGACTCTTCCCCAACTCATTCTATGAGGCCAGAATCATCTTGACACCAAACCTGGCAGTCCGATAACAAAAAAAGAAAACTTCAGGCCAATATACTTGATGAACTTTGATGAAAAAATCATCAACAAAATACTTGCAAACCAAATTCAGCAGCACATCAAAATGCTAATCCACCACAGTTAAGTAGATGTCATCCCCAGGATACAAGCTTGGCTGAACATCTGCAAATTAATAAATGTGATTCATCACATAAATAGAACTAAAGACAAAAGTCACATGGTTATCTCGATAGGTGCAGAAAATGCTGTTGATAAAATTCAACACCCCTTCAGGTTAAAAACTGCCAATAAACTAGGTATTGAAGGAACATGCCTCAAAATAATGAGAACCATCTATGACAAACTCATAGCCAACATCACACTGAACGGGCAAAAGCTGGAAGCATTACCCTTGAAAACAGACACAAGGAAAGGATGACCTCTCTCACCACCCCTATTGAACATAGTGTTGGAAGTCCTAGCCAGAGCAGTCAGGAAAGAGAAAGAAATGAAGGGCATCAAAATAGGAAAACAGGAAGTCAAACTATCCCTGTTTGCAGACAACATGATTCCATATCTAGAATCCCCATAGTTTTGGCCCAAAAACTCGTTCAGCTGATAAACAACTTCAGCAAAGTTTCAGGATACAAAATTAATGTACCAAAATCACTAGCGTTCCTATACATCAACAACAGTCAAGCTGAGACCCATATCAGGAAGGCAAGCCCATTCACAATTGCCATAAAACGAATCAAATACCTAGGAATACAACTAACCAGGAAGGTGAAAGATCTATACAATGAAGATTACAAAAAAGTACTGAAAGAAATCAAAGACACACACACACAAAAAATGGAAAAACGTCCCACGCTCATGTACAGGAAGAATCAATATCATTAAAATAGCCATACTCCCCAAAGCAATTTACAGAGTCAATGCTATTATTATCAAACTAACAATGACAGTCTTCAAAGAACTAGGAAAAACTATTTTAAAATT
Source organism: Homo sapiens (assembly GCF_000001405.40). Classification (NCBI taxonomy): domain Eukaryota; kingdom Metazoa; phylum Chordata; class Mammalia; order Primates; family Hominidae; genus Homo; species Homo sapiens. Next base: position 114,003,990 of record NC_000007.14, read on the forward strand.
CATATGGAACCAAAACAGAGCCCAAATGACTAGGGCAATCCTAAGGAAAAGAAACATTTCCTGACTTCAAACTATGCTAAAGGGGCATAGTAACCTAAAAAAACATAATATTGGTACCAAAAAAGGCACACAGACCAATGAAACAGAATAGAGAGGCACACAGACCAATGAAACAGAAATAAGGCCACACACCTACAATCATTTGATCTTTGACAAAGCTGACAAAAACAAACAATGGGAAAAAGCTATTCAATAAATGGTGCTGGGATAACTGGCTAGCCTTATGCAGAAGGTTGAAACTGGATCCCTTGGGTTTATATGTAAAAATCAACCCAAGATGAATTATAGACTTAAATATAAAACCCAAAACTGCCAGGCATGGTGGCTCATGCCTGTCATCCCAACACTTCGGGAGGCCAAGGTGGGCGGATGACTTGAGGCCAGGAGTTTGAGACCATACTGGCCAAAATGGTGGGACTCCATCTCTACTAAAAAACACAAAAATTAGCTGGGCCTGGTGGCCTGTGCCTGTAGTCCCAGCTACTCAGAAGGGTGAGGCAGGAGAATTGCTTGAACCCAGGAAGCGGAGGTTGCAGTGAGCTGAGATCATGCCACTGCACTCTGTCCTGGGCGACAGAGTGAGACTCCATCTCAAAAACAAAAAACAAAAAACACCAAACTATAAAAATCCCAGAAGACAACCTAGGGAATACCAACCTCATCATAGGAACAGGCAAAGATTTCATGACAATGACACCAAAAGAAATTGCAACAAAAGCAAAACTTGGCAAATGGAACCTAATTAAACTTAAGAGCTTCTGCACAACAAAATAAATTATCAACAGAGTAAACGGACAATCTACAAAATGGAAGAAAATTTTTGCAAATTATGCACCTGACAAAGGTCTACTATCAAGCATCTATGAAGAACTTAAACGAATTTACAAGAGAAAAACAAACAACCCATTAAAAAAAGTGGGCAAAGGACATGAACAATGTTCAAAAGAAGACATACATGCAGGGAACAAGCATATGAAAAAAAGCTAAATATCACTGATCATTAGAGAAATGCAAATCAAAACCACAATGAGAAAACATCTCACACCAGTCAGAATTGCTATTATTAAAAAGTCAAAACGTAATAGATGGTGGCAAAGTGGCAGAGAAAAGAAATCATTTATACACTGTTTATACAGTGTAAACTGTTCTTCCATTGTGGAAAGCGGTATGGTGATCCCTCAAAGAGCTATAAGCAGAACTACCATATGACCCAGAAATCCCCTTACTGAGTATATACCCAGGGGAATACAAATCATTCTATTATAAAGACACATGCATGCATATGCTCATTGCAGCACTATTTACAATAGTAAATACATGGAATCAACCTAAATGCCCATCAATGACAGATTGGATAAAGAAAATGTGATAAAAAACACCATGGAATACTATGAAGCCATAAAAAAGAGTGAGATCATGTCTTTTGTGGGAACATGGTTGGAGCTGGAGGCTATTATCCTTAGCAAACTAACACAGGAATAGAAAACCAAATGCCACATGTTCTTACTTATCAGTGGGAGCTAAAGGATGAGAAATCATGAACACAAAGAAGGGGACAACAGACACTGGGGTCTATATGAGGATGGAGAGTAGGAGCAGGTAATGAGCAGAAAAGATAACTATTGAGTACTGGGTTTAATACCTGGGTGATGAAATAATCTGTAACAACAAACCCTGGTGACACAAGTTAACCTATGTAATAAATCTCCACATGTACCCCTGAACCTAAAATAAAAGTTTAGGAAAAAAAAATATATGTCCACACAAAAGTTTGTACATGAATGTTTATAGTGACATTATTCATAATAGCTGACAAATGGAAAGGACCAAAATATCCATCAAGCATGAATAGATAAATAAAATGTGGTATAAACAATGGAATATTTGGCAATATGAAGAATGAAGATCTGAAACATCCCTCATTATGGACAAACCTTGATAACATTTATTCTACATGAAAGATGCCAGTCACAAAAGACCATATTGTATGATTCTATTTATATGGAATTTCCATAAGTAAATCTATAGAGACAGAAATTAGATTAGTAGCTGCCTCTGGCAGGCAGTAAGGATTCAGGTGAGAGGAGTGACTAACTGGCATGAGCTTTGTGGGGGTCGGGGGGAAGCTGACAAACTTGTTTCAAAATTGATGGTAGTAATGGTTGCACGACTGTGTGAATATACCAAACCAACCTGTGTTCATCTGTTGATGGACACCAGTTACTTCCAAATCTTAGCTATTGTAAATAGTGCTACAACAAACATGGGAGTGCAGATATCTCTTTGATATACTGGTTTCCTTTCTTCTGGGTATATACCCAGTAGTAGGATTGCTGCATCATATGGTAGCTCTATGTTTAGTTTTTTAGCAGTAAAAGTTTTAATAATTTTTTTTTTTTGAGACGGAGTCTCGCTCTGTTGCCCAGGCTGGAGTGCAGTGGCGCGATCTCGGCTCACTGCAAGCTCCGCCTCCCGGGTTCACGCCATTCTCCTGCCTCAGCCTCCCGAGTAGCTGGGACTACAGGCACCCGCCACGACGTCCGGCTAATTTTTTGTATTTTTATTAGAGACGGGGTTTCACCGTGTTAGCCAGGATGGCCTCGATCTCCTGACCTCGTGATCCACCCGCCTCGGCCTCCCAAAGTGCTGGGATTACAGGCATGAGCCACCGCGCCCGGCCAGTAATTTTTAATAATCTAAAAATTGTAAAGAATTAACATACTCTTGAATACACCAAGGTACAAAATTCTACTTAAAAGGGTAGGAATAAAAATAAATATTTTTCTAACCAAATCATCTCAATTCAGAATGGTTATTTTCAAAGCTTTTCATTTGGTTGTTTTTATTAGCTAGTTGAATGTTGCATATTGCTAATATGTTTTTTCTCTCTTGTCTCTCTGAAAACAGGATGGAGTGATGACACCTTTGAATTTGTGCATCTATATGGGATACTGCTTTTAAGTGTCTCCAAGAGTGCCTCATGTCAGGAAATCCAATGCATGGTATGGCAACTAGCATGTTTTACTAAAATTTGTAGGCTGCTTAAGCTTGAGAGAGAAGAGACAATAAATCTGTTGAGTAAAAGACAGTGTAAAAGCGAAGGTATTTCTCATCTCATTGTTTCAAAACAATGATTAGGCTTCTCAGTTTTTCCGGTGCCCATCTCAACTTGCAAATCAAATATTTTCCAGAATGACTCTCTTTGCCATACGTCAAAGTCTTCTTGACCCATATACTCCCAAATCCCAAATTATTCCAAATACTACTTCCAATAATAACCCTTTGTCCCATAAACTGCCATTTTAAAATGACAATCATTTTGACACAATCATAGCCAACACTGTATTACTATTCCATCATATGATTTAAAAAATGACTTCAGCTGGTCAGAGAAATTAACAAAATGGAGACGGTATTTTGTGAATTTTTGTGGGAAAAAGAGAGCATAGACTTCAGTTATGTTATTTTTTTTCTCTTGGCAGAAAAATGTGGCAAGTATGAATGTCCGTTGAACAAGGACATAATTTATTCTACAGCCTTATCACAACATAAAGTTATGTGGGAACTTCCTGGCTTCCCATCAATTATAAAATACCAGACTAGTCAGTTGACTACATGGAGCAATTATTGACCTAATAAATCCAACAAAATTTGCTCTTACATACCAAGAAGACATACCTCCAACAATATATGTAAGTATATATATTTCACCCAGAGATATCTGAGGCCATTTCACTGCCTCATTTTGTAAGATTCTAAGGATATGAGAATAAATTAATTTACACTTAATAGTTCTTCTTTAAAAATAAAATATAGTAAACTGAATTTTCAACTAAACATTTCAAATGTCTCACTTCCTGTATAAATGTCATCATAATGTACTAAATATTATACTGAATATTTAAAGGCTAATAATAAAGATTTCTAATAATGTTATTAAAAAGGTAAATTAATTTCTAAGTCATTCATATAAATCAATAAATAAAACATCTGTTTGAGTCCACAGGTAAAAAACTCATCCCAGGATACAACCCTGAAATTCAGAGTTACTGTTTCTGATTTCATAACAAAATGAAGGCAACTCGGCTGGGCAAGGTGACTCATACCTGTAATCCCAGCACTTTGGGAGGCCGGGGTGCGTGTATCACCTGAGGTTAAGGGTTCGAGACCAGCCTGGCCAACACGGCGAAATGTTGTCTCTACTAAAAATACAAAAATTAGCCAGGGTTGGTGGCACATGCCTCTAATCCCAGCTACACAGGAGGCTGAGGCAGGAGAATCGCTGGAATCCAGGAGGTAGAGTTTGCAGTAAGCCGAGATCACGCCACTGCACACCAGCCTGGGTGACAGAGTGAGACTCCCATCCCAAAAAAATAAAAAAATGAAGGCAACTCATAGTGTCACAATTTACATGCTGTTTTAATATCTTATTGAATTTCACCATTTACATTGACTTCTTCAGTAACTGTGTGACATTTTTCTGGTCAAATTATGGACTGAAATAAAAATTTAAAAACAGAACTGTCATGTGGTAATGTTTCCCAAAATGATCACAATACCTCCTGTCCTGCTTGCTTGCAGTGTGATCTTGCCATCTTCCCATTAAGAAAGAAAAACGATTTTCTCCACCTTTGAAACTGGATGAGCACTGTGTCTGCTTTGACCAATGAAACGAGGCAGAAGTGACATTCTGGGAACTCCAAGCCCAGGTCTAAAACATACCTGGCAGTTTCCATTTCCTGTCGCTTGCAAGACTAGCCCTAGGACCCTCTGCCTCAGGATTCAGCCACCGTGCTATGAGATGACCAAGTCACGTGAAGAGGGCAGGTGTTGGCATGTCTCAAAATCCCCAGTTGAACTCTAGCTGACAGCTGTCAGCATATGCCGGAATGAGAGTGAGCCACCTGAAAACCCAGCCCAGTCAAACCTTTAGAGACTTCAGCTCCAGTTCCAGCTAACTGAAACCCAGGAGATATTAAATGAAAACCATCCAGCTAAGCTCTCTCACCCAGAGAATTGTGAGAGATAATCATTCAAATTAATCAATAAGTAAAACATCTGTTTGGAGTCTGCAGGTAAAAACAAATCCCAAGATATAACTCTGAAACTCAGAGTTACTGCCTCTGATTTCATAAGTGCTGTTTTAAGTCATTCAATTTTGAAGTAATTTATTAAACAACAATATATAACCAGAACATAATGTAACTGTCACTTTACTCTTCATCTAACATACGTTTTTTACTCCACCTGCTGGGTTGGGAGCGGGTAAAGTCAACGAGGAAATTACAGCATGACCTAGATATTGGAGAATAGGATATTTCATGTTTATTATTGTTCTTAAAGCTGGATCCAAACGGGACACAATTTCATACCCATAAGATTGGCAATCTGACAATAACAAAAACTAGAAACCATGTGGATCAATAAGAACTCTTCTATGCTGGCAGTGAGAATGTGAACAAGTACAAAAACTTTGGAAAGAAATATGGTGATAGCTGGTGGAGTTGAAGACACAATCCAGAAATCTCATTCCTAGGCATGTACTCTAGAGAAATTCTTACAGATGAATACAAAAAAAATGTACAAAAATGTCTTTAATAGCATCATTTGTAAAAGTTAAAAATTAGAGATACCTTCAAAGTCTATCAAGAAGAGAACAGATTAATAAGTTATAGTGTATTTAAATGTTATACAAAAATGAAATAAACTAAAGCTATATCAGCAAGAATGCATCTAACAAATAAAATGCAGAGGGAGAAAAGGGTACATTTCAGAAAAATATACATCATATCATAAGAGTTACCAACAAAGCAAAAGAATATATTCTGTTTCAGGGAATCATATATTAATCTAATTATGATATAAAAGAAGGCATAGAAATAAACATCAAATTCAGTACCTTGCTGACAGGAGAGACAGGGAAATGGAAGGCACAGGGAAGGAGGGGATATGGTCAGAGAAGGCTATAGAAAGAACCTAAAACTGTATTTGCAATCTCTTCTTTCTTAGCTTAATTAGGGGTACACATGAATTTTTATGTTATATTTTTTACTTTTCTATATGCCTAAACTATTTTATATTTTTAAATGAAGAAAGGAGGTGTGTTAAATAGAATATGGTACTTAAAAAGACTTAATGATTAAACGACAAAATAGGAAAATAACTCACAATCAATAAGAAAAAGACAAATAACCCACTGGGAAAAAAACAGCAGAGAAAAAGATATTTCACCATAAAGAAAAGTGGACGTCCATCATTTGAAAAGGTACTCAGCATAATTAAAAATTATAGGGCACAAATTTACCTCAATGATGTAATATTTAAATTACTAGATTGACAAAAGTTAATGTTGAATCATATTAGGCTTGTCAAGGATAGGTGATAAACTGGTACGAATATTTTGTAAAATGATGGACCTCATCATTTGAACATTCACATACCTTATGCCCAAGGCACTTGACTCTGAGCTGTATGATCTGGAGAATCTTTTGCTTATGAACCCCTGGTGAAATTTATAAAAATGTTCATAGCAACATTGTTTATAATAGCAGAATCCTGGAAACAACTGCAATGTTCTTAGACAAGAGTGTGATACATGCATTGTCATATATTCTGCAATAAAATATTATATAGCAGTGAAAGAGGAGAAACTACTTCTGCATAAATCATAAATGGATAATTCTGAATGAAAAACCAAGTATTAGAAGAATATATGTGTGTGTGTTTGTGTGTGTGTGTGATTAAGGTCAAAATAAGCAGAACTAAACAACATATTGTTTATGGATAGATAGATGTGATTTTAAACTTAAAAACTGGAAATTAAGAACACAAAATTCAGGGAAGTTGTTACTCTCCATGGAGATAGAAAGGCATGTAGATGAGATCAGGGAAGAAAGCACAAACGAGATCAAAGGTTTTAAGTGGTCTAATTTTTGTTGGGCATACGTTTGTATGTGTTGATTATTATGCTTCATAACTGACATATGCGTTACATATTCTTATATCTTAAATATTACATAGTTTTAAAATAAATTATTAGAGTCTTTTCTAAGGAAATTATAGCAGGGAATCAGGGATGGAAGTAAGATAAAGACTTAAGAAAATATCTAAGGGTGAAATTTCTAGACTTAGCTATTTATCATCTATGATTAGTGAAGGAGAAGGTGAAATATGGTATTATGAATGTTGGGTCTGGATAGCTAGTGTTACTATTAAGATAGAACATGAAGAATTTTTAATATTAGGCCGGTTAGTTGACCAAGATTTGGCTCAAGGTGAGAGGTGTTGGAAGGGAATATACATATTCCCTTTTATGCCTATTACATTTAAGGTGCCTGTGGAATATTTAAGTAGATATGCCTGGCAGTCAAGCTGAGACAGGACCCTAAAACTCAGCCAATGGTCCAGTGATAAGCATACGTATACAAACACCATCTGTATATGGAGGTATTTAAATCATTATAATTTACAGAAAACACATAGACAAGTACTGAGAAGAATTGGTCAGATCATGAGGCACGATCACAGTGGGAATAATCATAGAATGGACGGTTCAAGTGGATAACCTAAAATGCGTTTGGAAGCACTATGTGTCCAATCAGCAAACGTTTGCTCTTCCCAGAACAGAGGTTTACTTGTAAACTATCATACCCACTCTTAACCAAAGGATTGAAAATAGTCTTTTTGCCATTTTGAAAGTATTCATACTCAAGTAAGCCACTTTATCAGCAAAGTATTAGGTTGGTGCAAAAGTAATTGTGGTTTTTGCCATTGAAAGAAAAAAAAATACTTCAGCACCAACCTAATACTTTCCAGATTCTAAAAGGAAACAAGAAGATCATTAAGAGGATTTAGATCATTAAGAGCATTTTAATTCAGGCTGTGCAGACATATAGTTTCAGTCCTTGTTCTGCTTTTCATCTCTCCTACTCCATACTGTATTCATCTTAGCTTGAATTGTTTAGGATATCCAACTTCTGCTGGTGAGCCCTCTAACAGTGATCTGATCAATTATGCTAGCCGATTTTCTCTTTGTTGCATTGCTCCAGCACATAAATGTAATATATATGTTTTTCTTCTCACAAGTTTACCACTTAGGTTTCTGGTTTCAACTCTCTGAGTTCGTCTATTCTAACATGGTCACTCTTTCAGCTTCTCTCCCCTCCCCATATCCCATCAGATCCATTATGAGAAGTCAGAGTGGGAAAGGGCCTTGATATTTTAGAAGTCACAGTGAGACACAAGATCCACAGGAAAACCAGATCTGAAAATATTCAAATCTTTAAGTGCTAGAAAGAAGACAGGTCCCAGGCACATTTGGGTTCACAAACAACACTAAGAGTAGGGAAGAAGGACATGAAAAGAAAGCTGCATGCAAAAAGATGATGAGAGAAACATCAAAGATAAATTTTGCTTAATTGACCATGCTTGGTCACATCTTATATTGTAAATAAGGTATCCATCATCAGTTATAAAGCATAGTGTAGTGGCTCACTCCTGTCTGTAATTCCAGCACTTTGGGAAGCCGAGGAAGGATAACAACTTGAGCCTAGGAGTTTGAGATCACCCTGGGCAACACAGAGAGAACTTGTCTCTACAAAATAACACAAAAACAAAATTAATTAGCCAGGCATGTTGACACATGTCTGTGGTTCCAGCTACTTGGAAGGCTGACTTGGAAGGATTGCTTGAGCCGAGAGATCAAGACTTCAGTGAGTCCAGATGACACCAGCCTAGGTGACAGAGCAAGACCCTGTCTCAAATAAATAAATAAAAATAAATTTTTAAAAAATATAAATAAAAAATCCTAATGCATTTGACTTAAATATCTCCTTGCACAATCTTAGTTTCCATATTTCTACATATATTTTAAACTGAGCTCCTTGAAGGTAAAAAGAGGAAGAGGTAAAGTCTCCAACAACTATGTTTCCCCAGCATTTGGTATAATTCTGGCATATAAGAGACATGGAATGAATAAACAAATAGGAGAATAAGAGCAACAAATATTCACATGGTGGTTACTGTGTGTCAGGTGTTCTTCTAAATATGTAACATAAATTAACTCATGTTAATTATTTACCTTAAAATTAAAAAGTAACTTTTCTACAAATTAATAATGAAAATTAGGGGTTAATTTTATTTTGGCCTTTCACCATAGCCTAGATATTTTCTGGAGACTCAAAGAAATAATGGCAACATTTGTAATATCCTGAAAAAGATTAAAATTGAGTGCTTATAAATTGCCGTATTTCTATATATTGCCATAATCTCCTCAGGTTTCTACCTGACCCCCAACGTCACATTCTTTTTCTTGGAATTGGTTACCATTTCACAAGAGTGATTCATACTTGTACAGTACCTCAATGTTCTAGCTACAGGCAATTGGATCAGAGATGTCACCAAATGCATGTTGGACAAGTTAGATAGTTTTGGGCTAGAATTGAGAACCAGGGAGCAGTCCTGTGTATAACTGGAACTGAAACATACAAATTCAGGAGGCTGTGGGTTAGTAATAATCTGCCCTGTTAATAAAAAAAAAAGTGGAGAAAGCCAACAGAGAAAGAGAAAGAGGTGGAGGGAAAAGGAAAAGGAAGGGGAAGGGAGAATAGCTTTTTCCAAAGATATTCAACCAGAGAACCCTCTCAAAATTATAATGTGTTGATTAAACATCAGTTGGAGTACATACACATGCATCATGTGTCAAATAGAATTTTCTTTTCTCTTTCTTTCTTTTTTTTTTTTTTGAGACAGGTTTTCTCTCTGTCACTCAGGCTGGAGTACAGTGGTGTAATCTTGGCTCACTGCAGCCTTGACCTCCCACAATCAAGTGATCCTCCCACCTTAACCTGCCAAGTATCTGGGACTACAGGTGCGCACCACCACACCTGGCTAATTTTCTGTATTTTTTTGTAGAGACGGGGTTTTGCTATGCTGCCCAGGCTGGTCTCAAACATCTGGGCTCAAGAAATCTGCTCACCTCAGCCACCCAAAGTGTTGGTATTACAGGCATGAGCCACCACACCTGGCCTAAACAGAATTTTAAAAGTCACCATCATTCTGAGGAAACAGTTCAAGAAAAGTTGACAAAGGCAGAGGATGACCAGTAGAATATGATTATTTCTTATTATCATCAAACTATGGAGGGTTTTGAGTATTGGAAAGGCATATGGAAACTGATAAAATATTGAAAGTAGGGACTTGGAAATATGGCAGAGTAGATATCTATGAACTTGATTTTTGTAATAGATTATAATAATTAGCATCATTGAATACAAAAATATGAGAAAAAATATTATAGACACAAAAGACTGCCATGTATAAGATCATATGCATCAGTGTTTTCCACTACTAAAATTATGTTTTTAATTAATCACAGAAATAAGAAAATGTGAAATAATAATTGCACTGGTGAAACAAAATAGTGCATCAATATACCTTTATGTCTCTTTCACTGGACCTCTTTGAAATGAGCAGAGTAAATGAGTAAATAGCAAATGCAACAAAGAAAAAATGATTAAATATCTAAGAATTTTTAAACAAAGTAAAAATGTAGGGACAATGTATTGAGTTACAAAGAACTACAGCAGAAGTTACGTTTAAAAATAGATTCTAAACTTAGTCACATGACCATGTCAAGTTATAGGAGCAGCATTGATGCTTGAGAATCTCTGGGAAACAGGACTGCCTGATGCAGGTGATAGATTAAGTGGCTGAAGTTTACCATAATGCAAAAAAATAAAATTTATGTCTTTATATTTGCTCTATTGAAAGTGTGTTTATTATGATATATCTGCTAATATTTTAGATATTCAATACTTTATGACATATAGATTCACTACAATTGTATTTCATAATTAAGCACTTTAAAAATATTAAGTAAAAATCAGCAGTCATATTTGCATCTGCAAAGAATCATTAAAATTGTTTCATCCTTCTTGCCTAATTCCATTTCACCTTATATAATTTAACTGTTACATAAAGTTCATCTTTCAAAAATAAAATTAATAAAAATTAAAACTGAGTTCAAATTTTCAAAAAACATTTTTTAATTTAAAAACCTACAAAATCTATAGAGCTTTCATCATCAAAAGTTGGCAATTGCTTAACCTGTAAGGTATGTATAAGTTCACAATTATTAACTGAAATCTACCTGTACTCTCTTTTGCATTTTTGTAGTTATTTCCTAATGAGCCATCATGGATCCACCATGAAAAAAAGATCTTAAAAGAATAAAGTTGTAAATGTATTGAAATTGTATGTTGGTGTTGAATGTGATATAATCAATCATATAGTTCATTTACATAGGAAGATGAAATTATAAATTTCCTGATCTGTTAGTGCTGTAGAAAAGAAACAAGCTACAAGAAATAAAGGTGGTTGACAAATATAAATAAATTATTTAGAATTTGGACTGTAAGAATTGTGATGAGAATAAACATATTCTCTCCTGAATTTAGGTTTGAAGATGATTAAAAACTGTAGTTTGAGCTCCTCCTATTTCAAATGTCCCTTTTAAACATGCATACAAAACAATTTTTTGAGAAATGCTTCTAAATTTTAGTTGGAAAGTGGAAGAATTCAAGAATCCCAAAAACTTATGTGCATGTAACAGAGAATGAAAATGGCAGAGTCAAGGAAAATCTTGTAGTGCTGTTTTAATTGCAAAGGTCGGAGCTGGTAAAGTAATTGACAAGCCATTTTTCAATCCTACTGCCACAGAAATGGAGAGAGTGGATTGTGAGAGAAAGAAATGGAATGTCATTAAAAGGTGTGCTTTCCCAGACTTCATTTTTGCCCTGGAACATTGCTTATTCTCACTGTTGAACTTGACCTCCATTACTTCAAGGGAGAACAAAGAGCTAAGTTATCACATTTTTGTCGTTTTTAGTTAAATAAGCTGTCTAAAAAGAACTTTTTCAGTAGCATCTATCGTATCCTCCACCCTCTGACTACCACCACAATGCTTATATACTTCTAATCAGAGAAGGAAAGAAAAACAATGTTCATTTATCCATGTCCTCTGCCCTCTCAAGTAGAGTACTAGACTTGGAGATGAGGTGACTTTAAAAGAAAAAAAAAATCTAAGATTAAGTATGTAAGAGAAAAAGATTTGTTCCCTGCTCATTTTCAGAAGCCCTGGAGTAAAGTAAATCTCTATTAGTTCTCTTAGTCTCCAGGGCACAGGAGAAGGTAAATAAAGAGATCTAAAGAATAAGGTATAGGCAGAGACTCCATGCTCACTTATCTATGTTTCCCTGACCTCAAGCACTGAATGTGGCACAGAGTGTACTTCCAACAAATGCTTCTCCAATTACAGTATGAAGAAACAAAGTAAACCAAGTGGTTGGAGAAAAGTCTAAACTTAAGTAAAGATATAGGTGAATATTAGGATACAATCCTAAAGAACAGAGAAATATAATCATAATGCTAATAAAATATAAAGAAACAAGACTATTAAATCCTTGAGAGAAGATATGACTCCCTGTATCTTAATTGTCAGGCACCATGCTTGCCACATTATTAATATTTAATAAGCATTTGTTGAATGCAAAAAAGAATGTCTGGATGAACAAATAAATAAAATTCAAAAGAATCATCCCCGCAACTTGTTTCTCTATCAAGGTGACTACTTCCCAATACAGAATACAAAAGGTTTACTTTCTGGAGATGTTAAAGACCCAAAACTGGGTCTTTTGAGGGTGAGGCTGAGCGTGGGGCTGATTTGCCATACCAAAAACGGGATGAAATGCCAGAACACTAGAGGTAAATGAAAATGTTAGACTTTGCTTTCAGAGAGAAAATAAGAAGTCAAATATGAAGGGTAGGAATATAAATATGTCAGACATCTCAGCCAGGCATGGTGCCTCATGTCTGTAATCTTGGCATTTTGGGAGGCCGAGGTGGGGCGATCACTTGAATTCAAGAGTTCAAGACCCACCTGGCCAACATGGTGAAACCCCGTCTCTCCTAAAAATACAAATACTAGCCGGTTGTGATGGTGCGTGCCTGTAATTCCAGCTACTCAGGAGGTTGAGACAGGAGAGTTGCTTGAACCCGAGAGGCGGAGGTTGCAATGAGCCAAGATTGTGCCACTGCACTCCAGCCTGGGCGACAGAGCAAGACTCCATGTTAAAAAAAAAAAAAAAAAAAAAAAAAGGAACAAAAAAAGATATATGTCAGACTTCTCAATAATAATACCGGAAACAAGAACCCAAAGAAGCCATTGTTGTTTTTTTAAATTCTGAAGGAATATTGCTTCAATATAGCAATACATATAAAGCCAAACTATTGCTCAAGTGTAATGGCTAACTTAAAAGTACGCAAGGTCTCAAAACTTTTATGTCTTGTATGCTCTTTTATAGGAAACTGCAGAAGGCAGAAAGTCAAGAAAGAGACATGGAATTCAATGCAAAAGAGAGGTAAAGGGGACTCTGGGGGGCAAACATGCAGCAGGACTGGTGAGTAGTACAGATTAGACCAGCAGCCCAGAGGGTCCCACAAGGGATGCCACCAGGTGAAGGAAAAAATTATCTGGTGGCTGTAGTAGTATTAACAAGAGGTTTATAGCTCCAGGTGATTTGAAAACATATTAGTAACAAATGTATGCAAAACTAAATGAACAACAAAATAGGAGAACTATAAGTCACACAAGAATTTCATCAACTATGAGCAAGATTTATATAGCTATGATAATGAAAACATCAACTACTAATTCTAACCAAGAAATTGTGTTGTAATAATATTTGAGAGGTAGGGTGGAGAGGAAATATGTATTGGTGGGTGTGGTAAATGTATAAGATAGATAATATCATAATAGCAAGTCAATAATATCTAAATGTAAAATATTTTCATTAACTGTCTTAGCATGTTCTTCAGAAATATGGAAGAAATAGCTGATGAATAGTTAAGATGGTTGAAAGTGGATGCCTCTGAAAAAATAGAATTGGTAGAGGGTAGGAGTGAGCCTAGGGCTGCTGTTCTTGGTTGTAAGCCTCATTGTAATATTTCATTTCAAAAATATATACATGAATTAATTTTATAAAATAAAAACTAAGTTTAAAACTACCTCATTGAAAGAAAAATATATAAATAAATATAACTATATAGCTGGTTCCCACATGGGAGGAGCAAGTAAAGATAACAGATCTCAAATTAAGAAAATATAAAAGTGGCCTAAAAGATAGAAAATAATTATCCTTACTAGTAATCAAATGAGCATTAAAACTGTAAAACATCAATTTCACCTATAAAATTAGCAAAGATTACAAAAACTCAGTGATGGCCACAGTTCAGGAATATAGGAACATAGAGGCACAGCTTAAAATTGTGCAGCATATTCTCCAGGTAATTCTATGTCTAGGAATCTATCTGGGGAACTTATCACAGGTGTATATACAGATTTACATAATAAATTTGTGGAAAAATTATCTTTATTAGGGACAAACTGAAACAAATAAAAATGCAAGAATATGATTAAATTAGCCATAGCCTGCCTCTATGGTGAAATTTATACATTAATTAAATTAGCCTTTTTTTCAAAAGTTGTTACAGTTTTAGGGAAATGCTTATAATAAATATTAAATAATAATCTCAAGGTAAAAGTTGCACATATAGTTAGCTATACCCAGCATACACACACCCACACACACACACACACACACACACAGAGAGAGAGAGAGAGAGAGAGAGAAAGAAATCTAGATGAAATAGAGCAAAATGTTAACAGATACAATCTCTAAAACTGTAGGATTTGGGGGTTACTTGGTGGTTTCTTCTTTATCCTGTTTAGCATTCTTAGGATTTCTATAACTGAGGTATATGACCTCTAAAATTAGACCTAAATATGCATTATGTTTTTCTTTTTATGAAAAATATTTATGCTTTGTTTTTAACCAGGATAGTTTCCATTTGGAAATCCGTGGATGGGTAAAGATGAAAGCCATTTGAAGAGACAGAAACTATAGGAATACAGTGTAAGAGCCTGTAAGAGACTGCCCAGCCTGACAAAAGATATGGACATTGCTTTCTTAATATAGATTAAAAATCTGTCATAGAGAAAAAAATATAGCATTAATGGGGCAGTTACACTATAAAGACATCTGCTAGAAATCTAATTATACTAAAAAGCTGAGCATCAGATAAATTCTTAACTTGTCTTGCTGACAATCTCATCTCTCAAAAGGTAGTAGAAGCAAAAAGTGGAACCCTTACTTAGTTCTGACCAGCAAGAAAGAAGTGGTTGCTATTGCAAAGTGAGAGAAAATATAAACAAAAATGGTACAGTAACATGAATTCATACTGCATGCATAACATACCTAAAGCACATATATGTAAACTTTGAAGTAAAAAATAGCTGGATATTTAATGACAGTGGATGACCACAAATTCAATATATACTCAAACTCTGTATAACTGTGGAGAAGTAATAGGAATATTTCTTTTGAACTGTTCATATCTTTGAACCAATAATTTCACTTTAGAAATACCTGAAAAATATCTTTATCAAAAATTATAAAAATATGCAGAGATATCTGCGATAGCACTATTTGTTATTGAAGCAAAATATAACAAAAATCTGGTGTCCAATAAAAGGACAGTATATTCACTCAATAGATCATTATGCAATCATTATGATGATAGAATTTATGATAACATAAAAATCAAATACTATAAATAGCTTAATATAAGCTGGAAAACGTCAAAATACAAAATTTTACAAGTCCCCTTGTGTACTAAACATGCTAAGTATATATATGAATATTTTATTCAATCACTCAACAAATTTGATTAAGTGCCTACTAATAGACCAAGTAATGATCTTGACATGCAGTGAACATTGAACAAAATAAATCAAAATACTGTCCCCATAGAGCTTCTTTTCTAGTTGGGGAAGACACAAAATGCACTATTTAGAGAAGTTATCTTTGGGTAAAGGAACTATGGGTGATACATGAGTAATTTTTTGCTTCCTTGCCTATACTTCTCAAATGTCCCACAGTGAACATTTATCATTTTCATAATGAAAATATAAAATATTGTTTTTAAATTAGCTGAAATGTATGCATATTTAATAAAAGTGTTATGTCTTGATTTAATAAATGTGTAATGTCCTAATCAAGGAAGGTAATAAACTGTATTATGCGCTTTTCAGATTATACCTTACTATTATGCATAGATCTAGATACCTCATTTTAATTAGAAAGTTAACAGACAAGAATGCACTCAGGGAATAATGACCCAATGATAGGAATCCTGTAAGTTATGTCAAAAGCGACAGAGCTGAGGGAATGGGGACATTTAGACTAAAAAACCAAAACCAAAACAAAAGGTGTGGTGGGAAGAAGAGTAAGAAGATCTGAGTTTAATTCTTCTTCCACCATTCCCAATAAACCTCAGAATCACTCTCACAAAATAATTTCATCCCTCTTGAGTTCCAGCTTGGGAGGGACATGGGTGTGGAGTGGGTGTGTGAGTGTCTGTGCATGTGTAAGAGTGGAGAATGAAGATAACATCTTCCCTCCCTATTTTTAACAATTGTTAAGAGGATCAAGACCAAAAAAAAGTGTCTGCGAAAGTATATTTATTAAATGAAAAAGTCATTTGATAGAGATTTTTTATAAAGAAGAAATGTTTTTATAATACCAATACACAGTGAACCCCAATAATTTTTACATACATCTTGACAGGCGTTGTCTCTCTACACATACACATACACACATATATGAGTATGTTTATTTACCTTTTAAACAAAATGTGATCATAATTTATCTAACCCTTGGTAACCGGACTTTAAAACTTGAATGATTACCATTAAACCTTGAATGACTACATAATATATGTTGTTCCAAAGAATAAATCTTCAAAAAAATCTTCAGATTTTTTACTCAGTCTGAGGTATAGATAAGTGAAACAATCTATCACCAAAAAAAAAAAAAAAAAGGGAGGAAAAAAAGAGCCCCCAGTCTCTAAGCAATCTTAAAGCAGTTACTATCTAATGTGGACATTTTGAAAGGAACTCCCTAGGGAGGCTGGACTAGATAGCTCTCAACCCTTCCCTATTGTATGAATTCTGTGATTTTATTTTGGTTTCATAAATTGTCTATCAAGGCCTACCTGTGGCAAAAAGCAAGAAAATCATCAGGTTTTGAGAGTCCCATGCCCTTTGCGCTTTGCATTGACACATTATCTGATGCTAACAAGCCCATGAAGTAATTGAAGTAATTATCTTTTATAACTGAAGAATATAAGGCTCGTAAAAAGTAAACAATCTGTCCGAAGACAAATATATTGCCAGTGAGTCATAAAATTAGAGTTTAAACCCTGCTTTCACAAAGTACACATTATTCACCCTATAACAGTATCTAACTGTGCTCCATAAAGCTCCAGGGTTCTGAGGAATTGTCCAAGGGGCTGCTAGAGAGGTAAGGGCAGATTTGAGCAAGAGTTGTTCTGGGACATACACTCAGCTTTAATTAGAACAGCCTTGATTTAACTTTCATTTACTAGAGCGCTTATGAAATATTGATCCTACTGATAAAAAAAAAAAGTTTACACACACAGCATTCCACCATGTGTCTTTCCCTGTGTTTCTTCAGGGAAAGGAGCCATGAAGCTAAGGAGCCTGGAAGACTACACACAAGTCTAGGAAGTCAACAGATTGAGGCAAATGGTTCTATATGTAATGAATTAAAAGCAAGATAGAGCCAAATAAAATAGTAAAGAGTCAAGCTAACAGAGCTGTAATAAATAGGAGCAACATGAAAGTACCCTGAGGTTCTTAAGCCCAAGGCCTATGAAGCCAGTGAGTTTAAGAGAAGTAGACAGTCAACTAGCAAGGACAGGCCAAGTCAAGGTCATCCAAGGCAACAATGGTCAGATGAAT